>NC_000003.12:90190034-90370068 GCF_000001405.40 Homo sapiens
CTGGATTTAGTTTGCCAGTATTTTATTGAGGATTTTCGCGTCGATGTTCATCAGGGATGCTGGTCTAAAATTCTCTTTTTGTGTGTGTGTCTCTGCAAGGCTTTGGTATCAGGATGATGCTGGCCTCATAAAATGAGTTAGGGAGGATTCCCTCTTTTTCTATTGATTGGAGTAGTTTCAGAAGAAATGGTACCAGCTCCTCTTTGTACCTATGGTAGAATTTGACTCTGAATCCATCTGGTTCTGGACTTTTTTTGGTTGCTAGGCTAATAATTATTGCTTCAATTTCAGAGTCTGTTATTGGTCTATTCAGAGATTCAACTTCTTCCTGATTTACTCTTGGGTGGGTTGTATGTGTCAAGGAATTTATCCATTTCTTCTAGATTTTCTAGTTTATTTGCATAGAGGTGTTTATAGTATTCTCTGATGGCAGTTTGTATTTCTGTGGGATTGTTGTTGATATCCCTTTTATCATTTTTTATTGTGTCTATTTGATTCTTCTCTCTTCTTCTTTTTTAGTCTTGCTAGTGGTCTATAAATTTTGTTCATCTTTTAAAAAAACTAGCTCCTGAATTCATTGCTTTTTTGAAGGGTTTTTTATGTCTCCATATCCTTCAGTTCTGCTCTGATCTTGGTTATTTCTTGCCTTCTGCTTGCTTTTGAATTTGTTTGCTCTTGCTTCTCTAGCTCTTTTAATTGCGATGTTAGGGTGTCGATTTTTTATCTTTCCTGCTTTCTCTTGTGGGCATTTAGTGCTATAAATTTCCCTCTATACACTGCCTTAAATGTGTCCCAGAGATTCTGGTATGTTGTGTCTTTGTTCTCACTGGCTTCAAAAAACATCTTTATTTCTGCCTTCATTTTGTTATTTACCCAGTAGTCATTCAGGAGCAGGTTGTCCAGTTTCCATGTAGCTGTGTGTTTTTGGATGAATTTCTTAATCCTGAGTTCTAATTTGATTGCACTGTGGTCTGAGAGATAGTTTGTTGTGATTTCTGTTCTTTTACATTTGCTGAGGAGAGCTTTACTTCTGACTATGTGGTCAATTTTGGAATAAATGCAATGTGGTGCTGAGAAGAATTTATACTCTGTTGATTTGGAGTGGAGAGTTCCGTAGATGTCTATTAGGTCTGCTTGGTGCAGAGCTGAATATAAGTCCTGGATATCCTTATTAACCTTCTGTCTTGTTGATCTGTCTAATGTTGACAGTGGGGTGTTAAAGTCTTCCATTATTATTGTGTGGGAGTCTAACTCTCTTTGTAGGTCTCTAAGGACTTGCTTTATGAATCTGGGTGCTCCTGTATTGGGTGCATATATATTTAGGACAGTTAGCTCTTGTTGTTGAATTGATCCCTCTACCATTACTTAATGACCTTCTTTGTCTCTTTTGATCTTTGTTGGTTTAAAGTCTGTTTTATCAGAGACTAGGTATGCAACTCGTGCTTTTTTTTTTTTTTTGGCTTTCCATTTGCTTGGTAGATCTTCATCCCTTTATTTTTAGTCTATGTGTGTCTTTGCACATGAGATGGGTCTCCTGAATACAGCACACTGATGGGTCTTGAATCTTTATCCAATTTGCCAGTCTGTGTCTTTTATTGGGGCATTTAGGCCATTTACATTTAAGGTTAATATTGTTATGTGTGAATTTGATCCTGTCATTATGATATTAGCCAGTTGTTTTCTCCATTAGTTGATGCAGTTTCTTCCTAGCATCGATGGTCTTTACAATTTGGCATGTTTTTGCAATGGCTAGTACTGGTTGTTCCTTTCCATGTTTAGTGCTTCCTTCAGGAGCTCTTTTAGGGCAGGCCTGGTGGTGACAAAATCTCTCAGCATTTGCTTGTCTGTAAAAGATTTTATTTCTCCTTCACTTCTGAAGCTTAGTTTGGCTGGATATGAAATTCTGGGTTGAAAATTCTTTTCTTTAAGAATATTGAATATTGGCCCCCACTCTCTTCTGGCTTGTAGGGTTTCTGCTGAGAGATCCGCTGTTAGTCTGATGGGCTTCCCTTTGTGGGTAACCCAACCTTTCTCTCTGGCTGCCATTAACATTTTTTCCTTCATTTCATTGTGGTGTACTCTGTATTTCCTGAATCTGAATGTTGGCCTGCCTTGCTAGGTTGGGGAAGGTCTCCTGGATAATATCCTGAGGAGTGTTTTCCAACTTGTTTCCATTCTCCCCGTCACTTTCAGATAAACCAGTCAAATGTAGATTTGGTCTTTTCACATAGTCCCATATTTCTTGGAGGTTTTGTTCGTTTCTTTTTGCTCTTTTTTCTCTAAACTTGTCTTCTTGCTTTATTTCATTAATTTGATCTTCAAACATTGATACCCTTTCTTCCACTTGATTGAATCAGCTATTGAGGCTTGTTCATGCATCTCATAGTTCTCGTGCCATGGTTTTTCAGCTCCATCAGTTCATTTAAGGTCTTCTCTACACTGTTTATTCTAGTTAGCTATTCATCTAATCTTTTTTCAAGGTTTTTAGCTTCCTTGTGATGGGTTCGAACATCCTCCTTTAGCTCAGAGAAGTTCATTATTACTGATCGTCTGAAGCCTTCTTCTCTCAACTTGTCAAAGTCATTCTCCATCCAGCTTTGTTCCGTTGCTGACGAGTAGCTGTGATCCTTTAGAGGAGAAGAAGTGCTGTGGTTTTCAGAATTTCCGCTTTTATGCTCTGGTTTCTCCTCATCTTTGTGGTTTTATCTAACTTTGGTCTTTGATATTGGTGACCTACAGATGGAGTTTTGGTGTGGATGTCCTTTTTGTTGATGTTGATGCTATTCCTTTCTGTTTGTTAGTTTTCCTTCTAACAGTCAGGTCCCTCAGCTGCAGGTCTGTTGGAGTTTGCTGGAGGTCCACTCCAGACCCTGTTTGCCTGGGTATCACCAGTGGAGCCTGTAGAACAGCAAATATTGCAGAACAGTAAGTATTGTTGCCTGATCTTTCCTCTGGAAGCTTCATCCCAGAGGGCACCCACCTGTATGAGGTGTTAGTCGGCCCCTACTGGGAGGTGTCTCCCAGTTAGGCTACACGGGGGTCAGGGACCCACTTGAGGAGGCAATCTGTCTGTTCTCAGAGCTCCAACACCATGCTGGGAGAACCACTGCTCTCTTAAGAGCTGTCAGACAGGGACGTTTAAGCCTGCAGAAGTTTCTGCTGTCTTTTGTTCAGCTATTCTATTCCCTGCCCCCAGAGGTGGAGTTTACAGAGGCAGCAGACCTTGGTGAGCTGCGGTGGATCTGTCCAGTTTGAGCTTCCTGGCAGCTTTGTTTACCTACTCAAGCCTCAGCAATGGTGGACACCCCTCCCCCTGCCAGGCTGCTGCCTCACAGGTTAATCTCAGACTGCTGAGCTAGCAGTGAGCAATGCTCTGTGGGCATGGGACCAGCTGAGCCAAGCACGAGATATAATCTCCTAGTGTCCCTTTTGCTAAGACAGTTGGAAAAGCGCAGTATTTGGGCAGAAGATTCCCGTTTTTCCAGGTAGTCTGTCATGGCTTCCCTTGGCTAGGAAAGGGAAATCCTGCAACCTCTTGCACTTCCCAGGTGAGGCAATGCCCTGCCCTGCTTCAGCTCACCCTCAGTGGGCTGCACCCACTCTCCAACCAGTCCCAATGAGATGAACCAGGTACCTCAGTTGGAAATGCAGAAATCACCTGTCTTCTGTGTCAATCAGGCTGGGAGCTGCAGACCAGAGCTGTTCCTATTCGGCCATCTTTGAACAGACCCCCCTGGATTCAATGCTTTATTGCAACTCAGGCACTGTGTTAGATTCTGAGGGGATCAGTATGAGAGATCCATGGGCCCTGATCTCAAGGACGGCACTTACAACCTTGCTGTAACATAATATATTACGTTCTATTCATTCAAGATATATTTATTGAGTGCATTCTTCCAGGAACTGGTATCCAAGGTGAAAGAAAAAAAAGGCTGCTTTAATGGTATACATGATTTCGTAAAGCAGATGGATATTTATAAAGGAATAATACAAATAATCATTAAAATGGGTAAGTCTGTGAAGGAAAGGAATATGGTGTTATGTGAGTGTGTAATAGAGGTGCTCAGTCTATCATGGAGGGCAGCAAAGACCTCCTTGAACAAACGATGATTCAGCTAAGATTTGATGACAGAGACAAGGTGAGCTAAATAAAATAAAAAGGGGAATGGTGAATTTCTAGAGTGAGAAATTAACGTATGCTAAGGTCCCATGAACAGCTGTTTGAGAAACTGAATAACATCCAGAATGAATGGAGAGCAAAGTACAAGGAAAGAAAAAGTATAAGATTAGGCTGCTAATGTAGGCCAGGCCAGGCAGAGAGTAGGATACTAAATTAAGAATGCTAATCCTCATCTAAGAGCCAAGAAAGCCACTGAAGAGATTTTGCTGGAGAGTGGTGATAGATCACTCTGGCTGCAGTAAAGAGAATGGATAGAAACAAATAAGGATAAAAAACAACCAGATAGAAAAAGACTGTAGCAGTAAAGATGGAAGGTGTTGGTGGCTTTGCCAAGAGTAGTAGTGTTGAAGATGGTCAGAAATAAATATTTTTGTGAAGTATTTAGGAGCTAATACCAACAAAAATGTACAAGAGCATAAAAATATTTGGCCAGAATATAGACAGAATAATTCATTCTTCCTAGAGTAAAAAAGAAAGACTTCACAGAAGTGGTATTCAATGGGTACTTAAATAACAAATAGAAGTTTATCAGGGCAAAACTGAGAGAATTATATTTTATGTAGAGAAAACAGCACAACTGTATTAGTTTGTTTTCTGTTACTTATAACAAAATACCTGAAGCCGGGCAATCTATTTTTTAAAAGGAATTTATTCCTTACAGTTATGGAGGCTGACAAGTACAAGACTGTGGGCACCAAAAGTTCAGACATTAAATTTTAAAGCTAGAGAATAATCTCCCATGACTCCATATCCAGCATTCTGTGTATACTGGTACAGGGGTTGGGACCCCAAGTCCTCAGGCAGCCTTGCTTCCATGACTTTCCATGGCTCAGCCCACACTTCAGCTCTTCCAGGCTGGTGTTGCACCCTAGTAGATCTACAGTTCTAAGATCTCAGTGGCAAATTCGCTCCTACAGCTCCCCAAGTCGTTGCCTTAGTAGGGGGTTCTCTATGGTGTCTCCTCCCCTGCAACAAGTCTCTGCCTGGGCCCACAGGCTGTTTGATACATTCTTTGAAATTAGGTGGAAGTTGTCATGCCTCCACAGCTCTTGCATTCTGTGGACCTGAAGTTTTAACATCATGTGGATGCCCCGGAGGATTAAGGTTTGTACCTTTGGAGCGGTGCCTAGTGAAGCCATACCTGGGGCCAATTGAACCACAGCTGGGTGGTCAAGGAGTGCTGTGCTGAAATATAGACAGCATATACCTAAGGGATCTCTGTGAAGGAGCCTATGGAGGGCACTCCAGGCCTGTACCCAAAAACCATTCTGCCTTCCTAGACCTCTTAGCCTGTTATGAAAGGAGCAGTTTCAAAGATATCTGAAATGCCTTGGAGGTATTTCTTCCATTGTCTTGTGGAATAGCATCTGGCTCCCTTCTATCCATACTAATTTCTTTAGCAAATGGTCCCTGGGCTACATTTTTGTCTCTCTCTTTTTTTTTTTTTAATTTTATTTTACTATTACTATACTTTAAGTTTTAGGGTACATGTGCAAAATATGAAGGTTAGTTACATATGTATACATGTGACATGCTGGTGTGCTGCACCCATTAACTCATCATTTAGCATTAGGTATATCTCCTAATGCTATCCCTCCCCCCTCTCCCCACCACCCAACAGTCCCCAGAGTGTGATATTCCCCTTCCTGTGTCCAAGTGTTCTCATTGTTCAATTCCCACCTATAAGTGAGAATATGAGGTGTTTGGTTTTCTGTTCTTGCGATAGTTTACTGAGAATGATGATTTCCAATTCCATCCACGTCCCTACAAAGGACATGAACTCATCATTTTTATGGCTGCATAGTATTCCACGGTGTATATGTGTCACATTTTCTTAATCCAGTCTATCATTGTTGGACATTTGGGTTGGTTCCAAGTCTTTGCTATTGTGAATAGTGCTGCAGTAAACAAACGTGTTCATGTGTCTTTATAGCAGCATGATTTATAGTCCTTTGGGTATATACCCAGTAATGGGATGGCTGGGTCAAATGGTATTTCTAGTTCTAGATCCCTGAGGAATTGCCACACTGACTTCCACAATGGTTGAACTAGTTTACAGTCCCACCAACAGTGTCAAAGTGTTCCTATTTCTCCACATCCTCTCCAGCACCTGTTGTTTCCTGACTTTTTAATGATTGCCATTCTAACTGGTATGAGATGGTATCTCACTGTGGCTTTGATGTGCATTTCTCTGATGGCCAGTGATGGGGAGCATTTTTTGATGTGTTTTTTGGCTGCATAAATGTCTTCTTTTGAGAAGTGTCTTTTCATGTCCTTTGCCCACTTTTTGATGGGGTTGTTTGTTTTTTTCTTGTAAATTTGTTTGTGTTCATTGTAGATTCTGGATATTAGCCCTTTGTCAGATGAGTAGGTTTGGAAAATTTTCTCCCATTTTGTAGGTTGCCTGTTCACTCTGATGGTAGTTTGTTTTGCTGTGCAGAAGCTCTTTAGTTTAATTCGATCCCATTTCTCAATTTTGGCTTTTGTTACCACTGCTTTTGGTGTTTTAGTCATGAAGTCCTTGCCCATGCCTATGTCCTGAATGGTAATGCCTCGGTTTTCTTCTAGGGTTTTTATGGTTTTAGGTCTAACATTTAAGTCTTCAATCCATCTTGAATTAATTTTTGTATAAGGTGTAAGGAAGGGATCCAGTTTCAGCTTTCTACATATGGCTAGCCAGTTTTCCCAGCACTATTTATTAAATAGGGAATCCTTTCCCCATTGCTTATTTTTCTCAGGTTTGTCAAAGATCAGATAGTTGTAGATATGCAGCATTATATCTGAGGGCTCTGTTCTGTTCCATTGATCTATATCTCTGTTTTGGTACCAGTACCATGCTGTTTTGGTTACTGTAGCCTTGTAGTGTAGTTTGAAGTCAGGTAGCGTGATGCCTCCAGCTTTGTTCTTTTGACTTAGGATTGACTTGGTGATGTGGGCTCTTTTTTGGTTACACATGAACTTTAAAGTAGTTTAGTCTCGCTCTGTTGCCCAGGCTGGAGTGCAGTGGTGTGATCTCGGCTCACTGCAAGCTCCCCCTCTCGGGTTCATGCCATTCTCCTGCCTCAGACTCCGGAGTAGCTGGGACTACAGACACCCACCACCATGCCCAGCTAATTTTTTTTGTATTTTTAGTAGAGATGGGGTTTCACCGTGTTAGCCAGGATGGTCTCAGTCTCCTGAGCTCGTGATCCGCCCACCTCACCCTCCCAAAGTGCTGGGATTACAGGCATGAGCCAAAGCACCCAGCCTCCTGTCCTGTTTTTTAATTCATTCTTTGGCTTTATGTCTGTTCTTGTCTGTGTATGTGTGTGTGTGCGTCGTGTATGCACACCCTCACATGTGCACAGAAGACAGGAGAGGCAAGTAGAGGAGTGCATGAGGTTAGAGAGCTACCCACAGAGACTGAATCTGTGGTTTGTAACCCTGGTTTCCCATGAGAATCTTCTGATTTAGTTGTTTGCAAAGGGGTCAATGAATCTAATAAGCCTGGGTTTAGATCTACTGGTTTAATGATGAAACCCCTTGAAAGCCAAGATTAATTATTTTCACCTCATGCAGTAATCAATAGGAAAAGAAAGGAGATTTTTGAGGACTTCAGTGAAATAAGATATCTGTGTGTGAGAGAGAATCTGAAAGCATTGTAGGGGATGGTCACAAAGACAGGACTTGGATGCAGGGAAACAAACAGAGATTCATATCTGTCTTTTTGGGCCTCATCAAATAGCACCTCACTGAGCTTTCGTTTAGAATCCATTTCTCCTTCCCAGAACCCCCTGCAAATGTTTATTTCTGCATTTCAGTCTTTACCAAACTCAGGCTCATTTTTTAATTACTTGTCCATGTGTCCGCTCTCCCCTGGACTGAGTACATTGATGGCAGTACCAAGATATTTGCTCCATTGTTTTCTTGGGATTCTTTCTAGCCCACACTTCTAATTATCTAAGTGTTCAGAGTCATTGTCAGCATTTGCTTCATTCAATTAAGTAATATCATACTTAATCTTTGAAATGTTAAAATGATTAATATTAACAACTGAGACTTAATGACACAACCAGTTATATGTAGAACTGGAGATAGAATTAGTTCTATCCAACCAATTGTTAGATTTGTTGGAATTGTTCATTCCAACCATGTACCATTGACTAAGTGCTGAGATAACTAGTAAGAATATGGGAACTGTGTAGTTTCAAATTTGGTTGTGGCCTCTTGACCCAGACATCCTGGCTCTTTGCAACTTGCCTTGCAATCCCAGCTTTGCAACTTGGCTAGCTACATGTACAAGGCAGACTAAGACTGTGCCTGTTTTTCAGAACAACCAGTTGTTAGTCCCCTGTGGCCATCTGTACTTGCTGAGTTGGCTAAGGAAGATGCTCATCTTCAGAAGATCCAGTGTCAGCCTGAGTGTTCAATTTGGCTTTAAATTAATTTTTTTATATTTATTTTTTGGGAACTCCAGATAATAATGCCAGATTCTTCCTATGTCAGTTAAATATTGGCCCGCTCTCCCATCTCTTCAAATCAACTTGAGGAATGATTTGATCTATCAAGTGGGGACACCCCAATTACAGAATGAGATTCCAGATTTCTCAGTTGGAAATGTTAGCAGGAAAGAGAATCAATCACTAGCAAATTGCAGGTATTACTTTACAATTTCTTTCCCATGAAAATAGGATTCTCTTGGAGGAGGGCTTGTTATGGCAAGTAGATTAGCAGAAATGAGTCTGTAAATTCACCAAATGCTAATCTTATCCACAGGTAAGACAACTGCTACACCATGGCATGTCCAAAGCGCTACAGAGTAATGGACTGCGGATCAGGAAATACCCTCCAACCTCACTGGTTTTCAGCTTGTTCCAAACCTCCCCATACTCAGTTCCCCTCTATTTCTGACACTCTTAGCTTCACAACTTGAAGCTAAGATCTTTTTCCATTGTCAGTTTGACCTCATAATCTGGCCTTGCACCGTTTATATTATTAATAATATGTACCCAAAACCCATGTATGCTGACCCAGGTAACTGCCTCCACCTTTGCATTCTGGAAACACAAATACAAGATAGCCATAGGTTATCTTGTATAGCACTAGATGAACCCCTAAGCAATGTCTCTGCCATAGAAGATCCAGTTTTCAAATATAAGTTCTCTGAAAGCTCAAAGCTTGCTATAGCAAGAAATTCGTGTGCAAGAACACCATCAAAACAATCTTCTTTATAAGGAGCAAACTACTGACCAAAAGTTTTTTTTGTTGTTTGTTTGTTTTTTTGAGACAGAGTCTCACCCTGTTGCTCAGGCTGGAGTGCAATGGCGTAATCTTGGCTCACTGCAACCTCCACCTCCCGGGTTCAAGTGATTCTCCTGCCTCAGCCTCCCGACTAGCTGGAATTACAGGCACCTGCCACCACACACAGCTAATTTTTGTATTTTTAGTAAAGACGGGGTTTCACCATGTTGGCCAGGCTGGTCTCGAACTCCTGATCTCAGATGATCTGCCTGCCTGGGCCTCCCAAAGTGCTGGGATTATAGGCGTGAGCCACCACACCTGGCCGACCAAAAGTTTTATCACTTCAATTTCTTAGGATGACCAGAAAAGAGCTGCTTTGTAGCTCCAAGGAACAGGAACCTGAGGACTACCAAGGGCCAACTTGAGTATTGTGACTTCCTATTCCATTGAGTTTAGCCCTCAGAGATACTACTTTTGACTCCACATGCACAGAGTAGAGTAGGTGCTTGATAAATATTTGTTGCTGAATGAATGAATTAGAAATTGATCATACTTGTCCTTTGAGTTTCTAGTGACCGTGTCATCTCCCAAATCAATATTAATACCAACATGATGAAATCTAAAAATTATCTCAGATATTCATCTTCTTTATTATTTCAGTTCCCACTAATGATAGCAACTAAAGGTCCAGGGGAATGCAAAAATAAATAGGCAATTCTTTTGTGAAAAAATAAATTTTCAAATGAAAAAGTCCTCTTTCCAGTAATCCCACCAGTTCCTTAATTCTAAAATGAAAAGAAAATTGGAAATACTTTATTGTACTGGCAGATAGGAACTGAGACTAGAATAATATTTTCAGACAGGGGAAATGAGGTGAATAGTCCTGTTCTTACAGATTAACCAGTGCTTTCACTGATCCATCACTGACTGCTGCAAATGGTTAAGTTCTATTACCATCTCACATAGCATGTTCAAAAAGTAAAAAGAAAAAAGAAAACTTTTTCAAAAGGTGAATTCTAAGGGATTCTGTAATGGCTTTGTTATTTGGAGTTTTTTCACTTATATACAAAGCTGAAATGGCACCAAATATCCACTTTGCCTTGTTCTCTACCAACTCTTTAAAAGTAGGAATCTATATTTCTTGGCAAAGTTGAAAATTAAACATCAATCAAAGATTCTTAGCCATAGGTCTAGACCCTCTCTCTAGCCATGTATGAGCACATCTCAAAGGTAGATGAAATTTATAAATGCGTCTCTGGAGCCTCTATGAGTATCATTGCGTATGGGAAGGTTTCTGCTCCTGATGTAAAAGGTAGAATTGATCCCTATATCTGACCTGTATGTGGCATAATCAAACGAGAAGCAGGCAACTCCTCCCCTTTCTTTCACTCTTTTTTCCCCTCTCTCATGTTTTCTCAGTTTTTCTTTTTCCTTGCTCTTTTACATGAATGTAATTATCAATAGTCACTTGCTGATATTCATCCCCCGTAGTACCTGGTGGCAATTGGGAAAAAACTTATATTTAGCAAGACAATTTCTGGGATGTGTCAAAAGATACATGTTACTTTTGCTTCTCTTCACCTTCTGAGCTCCAGTCTACCACCCAACCATAAATATTATTCAAATATTGGAGCTTTATCTGTCTTTTAACTGAAGAACTACTTCATTGTATGAAGAGTTAAATGTCTATTATGTAATTTTATGTTTTATTCAAACAGTTCATATAATAAAGATATTCACATGCATTTTAAAATTATACATCAATTTATTATAAGTGATATAAAATACAGTGAAAAGAATTTATTTTTACAAACTCTCAGTGAAACATCTGATACACATCTGGCTATGAATGGTAGATTCAAACGTGATAAAACTGCCACTTGAAATGCATCACAGTACCAGCAGGCACGTGGCAATCTTACCTCCTTTCTTCTTTTATTACAATGATACGATATTCACTATATCCCTCTGTGGTTGTCCTTTTGTTAAAATTTGTTCCGGTTTTCATAGTTCCTTTTGTACTTCAACAATCACATTTTGGCAACTTACTCTGGTAATTAAAAGTTGGATTCAAGGAAAACTATGAACTCCCACATTTGTTCATTCTCCTTTCCATCCCTGAATTCTGTCTTTTGTAATGTAGACCTGTGTGACCCACACAGCCAAATTTAAGTAATGTACCCACTTCAGATTTCCATACCTATCCAACCTAATCTGATGTCTCATCTTGACAGACTGCAGCTGCCAAGAAGTAAGATTCCTGTGCTGCTCTCAGGACAATTTGTCCCACTTGTTTTCTAATTCAGTAAAGATACTGGTTTAAATGTGAAGCCACACAAGAGAAAGATGAAGCCAAAGCTGGTCCCCCTGAGGAATTGTTTTGAAATAAGGCATTAGGACCCTCCATTCAATTCATATTTAATAGACCATCATCTCTTCTGCATTCATCAGGAAAAAAACAAAAACAAAAACAAACAAAATAGTATCTGCCTATGATTAATAGTATTTAATTACATGCACTTTTGTTTGAGTTTACTTCGTTGCTTTCTGAAAAAAAGATAGGTATTTAGACACTAGTTCATGATGATAAAATTAAAATTTAGTTTCACAAACAAAAATTGAAACTGTCATTTGTAGGAAAAAAATTCAAATTTAAAATTGTTATTTTTCACCATTCTTAGATAGCAAGAGAAGAATTTCTTTACTGTGATTTCTATCACAACAGAATTTTTTTCCTTGACAAAGGACCTTTTAAAAATCCCAGGAAAGGACCACAAAATAATCAAAGACTGCACATTGTAAATAAAACCCTTCAGCTGTTATTGAAACATAAGTATAATTACAGACAAGGAAAAGGTATTATCAGCAGAGAAAAGGTGCCTTAAGAATTCTTTGTCTTTTTCCAAAATGATGGACATGAGTGAGCTCTAATATCATTATGTTTAGAAATGGCTTCATCCAGATCCAACTGTACACCATTAATATTCACTTCCATGCAGCCATTATAAAAGGCATTCACTGGTGTGGCACTGAATGGAACATCTGTAAAAGTAAAATATTAGAATATTAGTCCAAGACTTTTAGCATCTTGTTTGTTTACAGTGAGAGAAGTCATTCAGACTTCCTATTTCCAACCAAATTCTAATCCTAAAGGAAAAGTTAATAATGAAATTCTATTCCATAAATATACATTCAGTGACTCCGATATACATGTTAGTGTACTTCATTGAATTCAGCATGTCATGAGTTCCTCGGATTTCATAAACACAATTAGTTCCATTTAAACTTAAACACATTTAAGGGAGAGTAGAAACAAGCATATTCTTGTGATATTCTATTTTTATTATACAAATAACATACTATTTTCTCTTTAAACTTAAGCAATAGTTTAAGCATTGTTAAATCATTTTCTTAACTCCAAATTATAGCTACTTGGAAATCTCTTTTAAATGTCATGATCAATATATCGCTTTTATTATTGTTGGAATAAAAGCAGATTTCTGTATTTTTCCAAAGAAATAATTTTTTGTTGAGCATACAATAGGTCATGATACAGGATTCACTTTCATATACTATTTAGAGTTCCTAAAAATAACAATTTTCCTTCCTCTTTTTTGGCCTCTCCTCTCCATTAATCTTAACTCACAACGGATATTCTTTAGCCCTTATCTTCAGTACCTTATGCCAAAAAAAAACCTTTAAATTTTCAACTTCTAACTTGCCAACACAGTGAATAAAGTTCCTACTTTACTATGACTATGAGCTCATAGCATTTGTTAAGAATCCCTTTGAAGCTGGGCTAAACATCATAGATTATGCCACTTTTCCTTTTTTGAGAAAAGAAATTACTCAAATTCATTCGTTTCCTGAGGAAAGAAATTACTCAAAATCATCCATTTCTCTTGGGTTTTAGTAGTTCACATGAAATTTAACATGCCTACTTTGCATGCAATTAATAATTTACCCATCCCACAGTTTATACTCTTAATATCTCAATATTTAGCTCCTCTCAAATTTTCCCCACTCTTTCTCTCAAGACATTTTGCCTGAAGTTAGTCCTCAGTGCTGTTGCCAAAATCCCGAAACCACTGAAATTTTGATAATTCTACTTCTTTTAAACTCTTTGTTGGTTTGATTTCCTAAAATTGCATTCAACTAAATTGTGGATAAGGTAGTAGGTAGATTTCAATATAGAATTTATTCATTTAAACTATAATTTTACTCCCTAATAATTAGGCATGCTCGCTACTTACCTCTATTTTTCTATCTATCATCTATCTATCTATCTATCTATCTATCTATCTATCATCTATCTATCATCTATCTATCTGTCTTTCTATAGCTTTAAAAGCCTATTTACTTCTATTTCCCAAAACCCCAGATACAATTTCCGTATATGGGAAATCAAGACCATGAGCAATTTAAGCAATATATTGAAGGTTATCAGAGGTCCAGACATCAAACTCAGAATTCTCCCCATGAGAATAAATTGCAAATGTCATCTGAAAATGCTTCTAAATAACTTTCTGCCTCTTTTTTTCCATTTAAAGTGAAATATTGGTGCCAATTTCATATTTTCTAATATTCAGTTAAAGATGAATCTGCTTTTCCTCCAGTTTTCCCCATCTTGGTAAATGGAATCTCCATCCACGCAACTGCTCATGCCAGATACCTAAAAATTATCCTTATACCTGTCTTTCAGTCATTAAGTCCTATTAATTTTGTTTCTAACACGTATCTCTGATCTATTCACTGTCCATCATCTTCATTGTTATCACCCTGGTCCTGCAGCTTCCTCAGTTTCCTCATCTGTAAAATGGGGATAATAATAGCACTTACCTCACTGGACTATGTTGAAAATTAAACAAGTGGATATATTTGAAGCACTTCAAACAGTGGCCAGACTTTGTTTTGCAACAGTTGATGGTGGTTTAGATACTACAACTATTGTCACTGCTTCTTCATCTGGACTACTGAATAGCCTCTCAGATCATCTCAATTAAACCCACTTTTGTCTCCCACCTATCCATCTCCATCCAGCATGCAGAGTGAATTTTTAAAATTGTAATATTGCTATACTACTTCCTTGTCTAAAACTTTTAATAGTTTCATGTCTCTCATTATAAGACTTACGATCCTGAACTAGGTCTACAAACAATCCATCCAACCGCCCAGTTCACAGCCTCACTCTACACTACCATCTCCCTTGCTCACTATGCTTTAACCATACTGATATCCTACGGATTCCTCCAACGTGTCATCCCCTTCCACTTTGCCCACACATGGAACATTTTGCTTGCATAATAACTCCAATCCCCATTCCCACACCTGGTTAAATTTATTTAACCTGTTCAGTATCAGATTTATAATTTAGTCGTCTATTACTCAGACCAGTTGTTTCTGGCCCCCATGACCAGGCGAGAAGTCATATTTTCAGGTTCTAAAAGCAACCCATACTTTTCCCCTCATAAAAGTGATCACAATTTTAATTATTTTGATATTTTCCTAATTAGTTGTTTAATGTCTACCTCTGCCACTAGATTGTTTATTACTATGTTGCGAGCACCTCTGACATAAGGTTTTTTTTTTTTTTTTTTTTTTTTTTTTGAGACAGAGTTTCCCTCTGTCGCCCAGGCTGGAGTGCAGTGGCGCGATCTCGGCTCACTGCAAGCTCCGCCTCCCGGGTTCATACCATTCTCCTGCCTCAGCCTCTCGAGCAGCTGGGACTACAGGCGCCTGCCACCACGCCCAGCTAATTTTTTTGTATTTTTAGTAGAGAGGGGGTTTCACCGTGTTAGCCAGGATGGTCTCGATCTCCTGACCTCGTGATCTGCCCGCCTCGGCCTCCCAAAGTGTTGGGATTACAGGCGTGAGCCACCGTGCCCAGCCTGGACATAAGATCTCAATAAAAGTTGGATAAATGGGGCCGGGCACGGTGGCTCACGCCTGTAATCCCAGCACTTTGGGAGGCCGAGGCGGGCAGATCACGAGGTCAGGAGATTGAGACCATCCTGGCTAACACAGTGAAACCCCATCTCTACTAAATATACAAAAAAAAATTAGCCAGGTGTGGTGGCAGGCGCCTGTAGTCCAGCTACTCGGGAGGCTGAGGCAGGAGAATGGCGTGAACCCAGGAGGTGGAGCTTGCAGTGAGCCGAGATCGCGCCACTGCCCTCCAGCCTGGGTGACAGAGGCAGACTCCTTCTCAAAAAAAAAAAAAAAAAAAAAAAAGGCTGGATAAATGATAAGATGAACTGAGTAATAGATGAATAAATATTGGGTAAATAAGAACAAATATTGAACTTATAAGACTATTCTGATGACGAAATAAAATAACATATCCTTTCTGGCTGGGATAGCCAAATGCAGCAAAACTTGATCAGCCTTAGTTCAACATTTTTAAACTAAACAAAACAAAAATATGCCAATAAAATGTCGGTTCTAGCCCCTAGAAAAAGAATAATGAATACTGGATTTTATGTTCCCTTCTGATGCTTTTTTACTATAATTATATATTTAAAATATTATCAATTTGATTAAAATATACTTTTTAAAGCTGAAGAAAAAGTAAGCAGATACCTGGAAGGCCACACAAGTATGTGACCACTTTTGCTTTCATTGCTTTGTCCAAGATGGCAAGTTGTCTTTGAAGGTCTTCATGGGAGATGGTTTCTATTTTAAGTGGTATCAACAACTCCAGATTGTTTCTGTTGACTCTAAATTCCAGATGAGATTGTTGATCAGAACATAGATTTAGGGCCTATTTCCGATATATTACAGTATTTTCAACAGATAACAGAATATCCTGAAGAGTAGAGCAAAGATTCAATATAAGCAAGGAGTAAGAGTAATGCTGCTTAAGGGTGACTTTTGAGTTTTTGAAAGTCAAAAACTAAATTTCAATAAGGAAAGAAAATGTATGATAGCACCTCTAAATTTAAGGGAAAAATTACTAAGTATGTTAAGACTAATTTATAATAATTATGACTAAAATTTAAAATACACATTGGTTTTACAAACTCAAAGTTTAGCTAAAATATAAATGTATACTAGTTTCTGAAAATTCAGTAAAACAACCAGCACCTATAGGAGTGTCTTATGTCTTTCTGTTTATGAGCCTTCCTAATTTCCAAGTTTACATATGAAAAGGGAAGGAGTTGAATCACTCTTTGTTGAGAAAAGACTTGGGAAATTTAAAATGCTTTAGTAAGCATATGCCAGCAAGACTAACAGGTTTCTTTGTGCCACACAAGCAATCCTATAGACTTGGGATAAAATAAGTGAAGAGGCCCTGAGAAAGAAAAACCAGGAATTGCCACCAGGACGTTATAGAGCATTTACCAGAAGATTCTACAGAAAGAAAATGTGTTCATTCTGCTGAACCTTTCAAACTGCTGTTATGCCTAAATTACTCGATGTGTTGAGTATGATCTCTTCATATAGCTTATATGGCATAGAGGAAAGTGATAAAAACATAGTCAGAAATGTTTGTTTAGGAATCCAAGATACCTATTTTAAGCGAAAAGACTAACTTTGCAAATATAGGTTACCTGAGGTAATTTGTTATTGTGTTGTACATGTCCGTATCCTTAAACTCATTAAAAGAGATTGTCAATAAAGAAAATGCTCCAAAATGATCAATGGTATCTGGAATAATGTTATGAAATATTGCATAGACCTTGAGAAGAAAATATGACATGCAAAGAAAGAACCATGGAGGCAAACACTCAAAGGATAAAATAAATATCAAAGACATTGCATGCGTTAACCTCCTCCACTGCATGAATGTAGTGTTGAAGATAGGAATTCCATTTTGTTTAAAAAGAAAAACAAACTAGCAAACAAAAAACCCTTGAAATCCAAATGTAGAAAGCTCCTTAAAGACAGGAGATTAAAACAAAAACAAAAACAAAAACAAACTCATCAGGATATTTTTAGGTTACTTATGGTTAACCACCAGAAACTTCCCATCCTCCTCCCTGAATCATACTTTAAGTTGCAAACAGCATAACTTGTTTTACTACAATAGACATTATTCAACCATAGGTCTCTTTCTAAAATCTACTGAAAGCATCCAAGTCAGCCTTGGCATAAACGTCAGGTTCTTGCAGTAACTTGTTGGAATGCACTGTGTATGACGCATAGACAGAACGACTATGCTCTAATTGAAGTCTGAATAATACAGATTTTCTGATAACCCTCATATTTCCTTTCATCTAAGGCTTTTTCATGTTCTTCCTCCTAATTTCAAATAAGAGTTGCCATTAAGAAACCAAGTGGACCAGTTTTAACTTTCTCTCTTTTTTCCTAACTTACTCTTGGGAGAAAAGATTAAGAGTGTAAGAAAGAACAAAACATTATAATTAAGCACTGAATATCTGAGAGTGCACTGTAATTAGATTCACTTCTATGTTGACAGCACAGACTAATTCCCACGATGCTTAAAGGATTCTTAATAAGGGTGGATCTCTATTTATTCGGGTGGCTCCAAGCAGCCTGTGTGAGAGTCTGCCTAATCTTAGGTATAGATGCAGTAGGTTTTTCATTCCTCCCTCCCCTTACTTCTTCATTCAGACCTTGGAAACAAGCCAGAAAAAAAGTAACAATAGTAGACATTTTTTGAGTCTTTAATGATGTGCTGGAGATTGTGCCAAATACTTTACATAAGTTACTTTATTTGATCTTCAAAATCGTCCTTTGAGGTAAATACTGCTATGTATCTATTTTAAAAAAGAAAAGAAAAACAAGGCTCATCTAGGTTTAGAGTTAAGTTACCTGCGATTTTTCAGAGGTGGAGTCCACCAAGGACACAGCAAAGGGCACTGTGTTGTTACCAGAAACCAAGGCAAGCATAACACCAGTGCCCATGGATGGATGAATATTCAAGGTCACATTTATATGCCAACCCTCAGCACTGGATACATTATCTATTTAAAATAATGAAACAGAAGCATGATCAATGCACTCCTAAAGTGCACCAGGAGGAATTATTATTAATACAGTCCAGGTAATATTCAAAACTATCTTGTGTAATACTATTTTTTTTCCCTTTCTCAATGATCTATATAACCTAGGCAAAACAAAACAAACTTTTTTTTAATGCAGGCAAGAAACATGCAAATGGAGTACCATCTTCCCGTTCTTCCTAGAAGAGAATTCTGGATTGTAGTGTTAAGGATTATCATGGATTTTCCCGGTTTGCTCTTTAACAACAGTGCTTCCTTCTCTCTTCCATGTTCGCCAATGCTCAAATCTCAAAGTGGTCATATTTCCAAGTACACGTTTGAAAGTTCAACAAATTTACTGTAATAATTTAGGGAAAATCTGGGTACAGTTGCCATCATCACTCCAAAGGATGATTTATGTATGATTTATATACACAGGAGAGTTGGATAGTTCGATACTAGAGAAATACACTGACATCAGCAGTTAGTTTTGAAATCAGAATGGGAACCCTTGTTTTGTGAATCTCTTGTCATAATCCTTCACATTCTCCTTCTTAATTACTAGGTTAATTGTCTATCCCAATAACGTGCAAGCTCTAGGAGGTATATGTCTCCATCATTGCTTTGTTTTTCCCAGCAGTCGCTCAATAGATATTTGTTGAATTAATATGTTTCCAGAGTAGTTGGATTACTAAAAATAATAGTTCATAATCTGAATGAAGTCTTCCTCATTTAATATGATGTAATGTATAGCAAAGCCCAAATACCATACGGAGCCCTTGAAAGGGTAAATGTGAATAAGGAAAATAATTTTCCTTTGACAAGATGTTCTTCCACTTAGCCACATATAATGTCACTAAGTTTTTCATTATAATCCTGTAACTCCCATCCAGAAGAAAAAAATATATAGACCGGGTGCGGTGGCACATGCCTGTAATCCTAGCACTTTGGAATTGCCTGAGCTCAGGAGTTCGAGACCAGCCTGGGCAACGTGGTGAAACATCTCTACTGAAAAAAATGTACAAAAAATTAGCTGAGCATGGTGGTGTATACCTGTAGTCCCAGCTACAACTCGGGAGGCTTGATTCAGGAGAATCGCTTGAACTCAGGAGGCAGAGGTTGCAGTGAGCTGAGATCATACCACTGCACTCCAGCCTGGGAAAAAGAGTGAGACTCTGTCTCCAAAAAAAGAAGAATGTTTACATGTAATCATTGTGAAATAAGTAATTTTTAATTGATATGTCATAATTGTACATATTTTGGGGTAGATATGTCATTTGATAAATGCATACAATGTGTAATGTTCAAATCAGGGTAACTGGAATTTCTATCACCTAAACATTTATCTTGAAATAAGTAAATTTAATACAGAATATTCAATTCAAACTAAAATGAACACGCAAATGCAGAGAAGTTAAAATGTAACATTAAATATTAATTACAAAGATCACTTACAAATTATCCATGAAATGATTGATTACTTATTAAAGTAATTTTTTTAGATACAATGTAACTCTTATTTTCATTACCTTTTCAGGATTTTTTTCCTTTGGCCAAATCATCATGGATTTAGTTTTATCCTAATTTAATCCTCACCCCATTTATAACTTTAAAACAATCCTTCATAGGCAGAACAGAACTAGGCATTGTATTAATACATGTTAGAAAAAGAGAAATCATTTTTGTAAAATTTGTCCTTAAAAACGTAGTAAAAAAGGCTGGGCACAGTGGCTCATGCCTGTAATACCAGAACTGGGAGGCTGAGGCAGGAGGATCACTTGAGTTAAGGAGTTTGAAAACTGACCTGGGCAACATAGGAAGACCCTGTCTCTGCAAAACATAAAAATTAGCAAGGCATGGTGGCATGTGGCTGTAGTCTTCTTAGCTACTTGGGAGACTGAGGCGGGAAGATTGCTTGAGCCCAGAAGGTCTAGGTTACAGTGAGCCATGATTACACCACTGCACTCCAGCCTGGATGACAGAGAGAGACCCTATCTCAAAAACAAACAAACAAATGTAGTAAATACAGACTATGAAAGATGGGAGGGTGGGAGGAGGGTAGGGGTTGAAAAATTACCAATTGGGTATCATATTCACTATTTGGGTGATGTGTACACTGAAAGCCCAGATTTCACCACTACAAAATATATCACAATATATGCATGTAAGAAATCCGCACTTGTACCTCCTAATTACATAAAAATTTAAAAATTTGTTTTAATGTAGTAAACACTTCTTCTTTTTTTTTTTTTTTTTTTTTTTTTTTTTTTTGTGAGACATGCTCTCACTCTGTCATCCAGGCTGGAGTGCAGTGGTAAGATCCTGGCTCTCTGCTGCATCGACCTATTGGGCTCAAGCCATCCTCACACCTCAGCCTCCTGAGTAGCTGGGACTACAGGAACATGCCATCAGGCTTGGCTAATTTTTGCATTTTTTGTGAAGATAGGGTTTCACCATGTTGCCAAGGCTGGTCTTGAATTCTTGGGCTCTAGCTCTTTGGGATCTGCCTATCTCAGCTTCCTAAAGTGCTGGGATTATAGGTGTGAGCCACCTTACCTTGCCCTTTTTAAGTTACAAATAAACACAATTAAAGTGTAATTTTTTTCTTAAAGCAGAGATATCACATTAATACTAACTATTTATAATGCAAAGTGTTAGTAGCTCAAATAATGAACTACTAAAAAAGAAAAAGAAAAAGAATTCAATAAAATAATTAGAATATATAAATAGCTAATAAACATATGGGAGGTTATTCAAGTTCAGTAGAAATTAGGGAAATAATATTAATATTCAAACCTACAAAATTTAATTTTTAAACTATCAGATTGGAAAAAAGCTAAAGCATACACTTTCTCATTCTGTTGGTAGAAATATTAATTGATAAAAGATTTTTGGAAAAGAATGTAATTGAACCTCTAATAATTATATATTTGCATAACCTTTGATAGAAATAACCTAATTCTAAAATTTACTTCCATAGAATTAATCACATAAAGGTAGAAGGATGTATGTTTTAGGATGTTCACGGAAGTATTATTTATAAGGTTAAAACCATAGGGTCAGTGTGGCAAGACTCCCTGCTCCACTTAGGCTGTAGAAAATTGGAAAGAGCACCACTCCCACCCTTACAACAACAAAAGCCAAATTATTTGCATAATCACGACTTTTCTTGGAACTATCAAAGAGCTGAGGTCACAGAGCAACAAACAACTAACCAGAAACCTAAAGAAAGACAGGTGTTTCCAAGGACAACCAGAATGAGAACACTTTCTAACCCAGGGCAGACAGGAGATGCCATGCAATTTGGTAAAAATAATTTAGGTAAAGATTTAAGCAAATTGGTGAACTCCATGTGGGGGCTGATGTAAGAGTTTAGAAGCCCTAGAAACTACAGACACAAAGACAATTCATGCTCATTCACAGGCTCTTCTCCACAGATTACTGTGCACTCAAGAGAAAACAGAGTGCAGGGAAGGAGACCTGAGAAAGTCTCTCTCTTAATATGGTCCTGAAAGCAGCACCTGCTACAGGGAATCCACAGAGCCCCACCTAGATCCTTCTCAGTCTCCTCTACACAACACAAGTTTTGAACCCAGGAGAAAGGCAGCAAACTTTGTCATTAGGACACATATGAAGACTCATTGCAACTACAGATTAGGAAGAACAAACAAAGCTATCTATCATGGAGAAGGAGCAAGAAACCATCTTGAGTCCTGATCATTAGACATCTCCCCTACTGATGAGAGTCAGGGAAGAGGAACAGTGAAAATTCCACACTCCTGAGACCCAGGGATACAACACCTGCCTAAGACTGAATTTGTATGAGAACAACATAGAATGCTTCCCCAACCTCTGCATCTTCTCTGCCATGTTAGCAAAAGTCAAGTAACAAGAGCACTCTGCTGGGGGTGGGCAAGACACTTGAGAGACACAAGTGGGAGAGACATTTTCTTGAGGCATATTATGGAGGGAATACATAAAACTGAGCTGCTAGGATGAAAAACTCTCTAGGCCAATCACGGTGGCTCAAGCCTGTAATATCAGCACTTGGAGAGGCTGAGGCAGGCAGATCACCTGAGGTCGGGAGTTTTTGAAACCAGCCTGGCCAACATGGCAAAACCCCGTCAAAAATACAAAAATTAGCAGGGCATGGTGGTGCACCCTTATAATTCCAGTTACTCAGGAGGCTGAGGCATGAGAATCACTTGAACCTGTGAGGTGGAGGTTGCAGTGAGCCTAGATTGTGGCACTGCACTGCAGCCTGGGCAACAGAGTGAGACTCGGTCTCAAAAAAAAAAAAAAAAAAAAGAAAAGAAAAGAAAAGAAAGAAAAGAAAAAGAAAAACTTCCTAGCAAACCATTCCCTTATTTTAAGCAGAAGGTTGTATTTAAAAAATCTGAGGCTGGGTGCAATGGCTCACATCTGTAATCCCAGCACTTTGGGAGGCCAAAGCAGGTGGATCATGAGATCAGGAGTTCAAAACCAGCCTGGCCAAAAATACAAAAATACAAAAATTAGCCAGGCGTGGTGGTGGTTGCCTGTAGTCCCAGCTACTCAGGAGACTGAGGCAGAAGAATCACTTGAATTCAGGAGGCAGAGGCTGCAGTGAGTCAAGATCGTGCCACTGCACTCCAGCCTGGGTGACAGAGTGAGACTCCATCTCATAAACAAAACAAAACAAAATGAAAGATCTGAAACGTGTGGTGCGTTAAGGGTAATCCTGGCACCAACAAAACTTAAGAAGCTCAGCTTTTCACTAGATTGATTCAATCCTGTTACTAACAGCCTAGCAAAAGAAGTGTGCTCATTTCCAGACACAAATATTCTTCATCTCAGTCTCTACTGTTATACGTAAGATGCCCAAATCTAAACCAAAAATTACATGATACACAAAGATGCAAGAAAAACAACACTTGGTCAAGGGACAAAGCAGACAAAATGACCAGACCCAGATATGACACAGCTGGAACTATGAGACAGGGAATTTAAAATAATTATGATGAATACATTGAAAGCTCAGTACCCATTCTGGACAAGTGTGAACAGATAGGGAATTTCAACAGGGAGGTAGAAATTTTAAGGAAGCATCAAATAGAAATGCTAGAAATTAAGATGAATCTTTCTGATGCATTCATTGGTAGACTCTATACAAGTGAGAAATCAGTGAACTTTAAAATAAGTCAATTGAATTTACCCAAAAGGAATCAGGCTACCTACCGATAAACCTGAAATAACAACACGAGCACATTCAAATGCCTTTATATTTTTCCCAATACACTGAAAAATTTTTGTAAAAGTTATATAATAGTATGAATAAGCATAAGACTAGAGTGGGCACACAGTAGATAGTAATGTTTCACAAATTATTACTGTTTGTTGATGAATAAATTTACTCATTAATGAGAAAATAGAGATAAATGGAAAATCACTTACTATAATCTACGCGAAATTGAGCAATTCCAAAACCAGGATAGTAGGAGCCCTTCTCCACAGTAACCAGGCAGTGCTTATTTTGTTTTTCTTGAATAATTTCCTTTATTCCAGAAGCTCCTTGCTTCATCAAATTCCAGCCTCATATACATCCGTCTAGACAAGGGTTAATCTAACAAATTAAAATATAAGTCAAGGAGTGCATTTTAAACTTAAACAGTGGCTTGATTTTGAGTATAGGTTTTCATTAAGAGAAAAAAATCCTTTCTTTGATAATAGTTGAAAATATTTTGAATTTTATTTAAGTTTTCCTTTTCAAAGTATTCTTCAGATGGACAGTCTTTTTCAGTACAAGCGAGCTTATACTATCACAAGCCCTCAGCGGATCTTAATGATTTTTAACACTTCAAGCCCCACCTGCCTCTCCTACATCATCCAGTGGTAACTTTTCTGCTTTCAAGTTCTATATTTGCTTCTAGCTGTGGCCCTGGTCTCTAAGATGTCTTGTTTATCTTCTTTGTTTGTTTGATTGAGACGGGGTCTTGCTGGAGTGCAGTGGCAGGATCTTGGCTCACTGCAACCTCTGCCTCCCTGGTTCAAGCGATTCTCCTGCCTCAGCCTCCTGAGTAGCTGGGATTACAGGTGCCCACCACCACGCCTGGCTAATTTTTGTACTTTTAGTAGAGACGGGGTTTTGCTACATTGGCCAGGCTGGTCTTGAACTCCTGACCTCAGGTGATCCACCCGCCTCGGCCTCCCAAAGTGCTGGGATTACAGGTGTGAGCCACCGTGCCTGGTCTTGTTTTTATTTAGTGGCATTTATAATATGGGTTTGTCTTGCCAATCAGACTCTAAGTCTCTTCAGACACAAAAGTGTTTGCATTCTTTAGCCTCCATCAAGCATGCTGCCAGGCTCAAGACATGTAAAAGCCATTTCATAAATGATTGATACTTTTTGAATAATTTATTTTACTTTTAAAGTGTATTAATTTCTCAGTTTCAAACAACAGGTATACTCATGTCAACATGGGTTAATTAATTCAAGCTTAATATCATATAATAGAAATCTTTTAAAAGTTAAAGTAACTACGAATTGCCAGGAATGAAAGACGGATATAAGATAGTAAATATTTAAGTTAATCAACAAGTGTATCTGGCAGGGCTGTGACTTCAAATGAAATTTTTAAAATTCTTTGAAGAGTTAGTGGTTAGTCTCTTTCATGAAACCTATTCTATAGCTATTAAATATTATATTTAGAAAAACATGTATTATATCTAATTTCAATTTGTGACAGGCTATAGTTGTACCCTCAGTAAAGAGGTATTTTTTAAACAATAAATTTCACCTTATGTGCTATTCTTTAGCTCTTGCATTTAAGTCCTAAAAATAGACTTGAGAAAGTCCTCTGACTGGCTTTTACAAAATAGCATAATTTTGGACTTAAATATATGAATTTATATGTTTAATGACTGAGTATGGATTATCATGATGTTAACACTGAACTGTAGTATTAACATTCTCAAGTGTTAATTTGAGAATTTTAGAAATCCACTTCATGATTTATGCTGAGGATTTAAATGGGCACAAAACCACTACATCATTTTTTTATTTCATTAATATAATTTCAAGGGTTACTAATGTTATTCTTCCATGATCATTTCAAGTCGTCACATTTAGTATGCTTAACAAAACAACTTCTATTGACTCTCAGAAAAACACATATTCAAATCTATTATAGACAAAAGGAACTCATCCATGATGAATGATACAAGCTTGGATAATTACCGGTTTAATGAGTTCACTTTCCACTTTCTGAGGGAATCCTGCAAAGTATACTTTGGTTTCCAGCAATCCATTTTCAGGCTTAAAAAGGGGTCCAGGTTTATTTATATCCATCACAGCTTCTTTAGCTATTTTAATGTTAATACTATGTTCTAATTCTTCCACAGACACCTACAATTAAAAAGAAAACTTACCAAATAACCAAGCATTACTACGTGTCATTTGAAATACTGGGATCTAAAAATTATGTTATTATTCCAATAAAATACTTCTGTAATCATTTTAATGTAATTATTAATTTGCTACAACTCATTTGGAATGTCAAATTATGATAAATGTGATAAAAAGGCATTTAGGGTGGCAGCACCCTATATTGGCAGTACTTGATCAAAATTTAAGAGTGTACCATATTTTAAAGTTAAAAAAAATACTATTCTGTTAAGCTTAAACATCCCGTTATACATCTTTCAATTCCCGGCTGCTAGAAAATTAACAGTTAAGTGAGCCATTTTATCTTAGGAAAAATTTAAGTGGTCTTATTTTGCAATTGTCTGATAATACACATATGGAATCAACAGTGTAAATCAGTTCTTAATATAAAGTAAGAAAAATCAATATGTTCAGTATTCTGTTAATTGCACACAAATTATTCTTTCTTTAAAATTCAAAAATGATTGAGGCAATAAGAAAAAAATACATAAATTGGAGTTTCCCAATTTTGAGAGTTGTTTGGGTTTTTAAAAAAGGTTTCAAGTAAGGATAAACAACAATAAAAATTCCTTCCACAAAGACAATTTGAAGAACCACTGCTGCAATCGCTTCAAGTAAAACTATAGCACTCAAAGAGCAAACTCTTCACTCACTAACCAATGATATAAGCCAAACAATAAGCATATTAAAACACCATGATAGGAAAGGAAAAACTATCCTCCAACATAAAATAAATTTAGAAACACAAATTTAAAGTTGGTCAACACTCCTTCTTTAATATAGCCAATTAGCAGCATGTGAATAACTATTCTCTCCTTTACAGACTTTCTTAACTTAGCCTACAACACCTGACCCTGCTTGCTTCTCTTTCTACACTCTAACCACTACTTCTCAGTCTCCTTTGCTGGATCTTCCCCTTCCCACAGCTCAGGCCCCAGATCTTTTTCCTGTAGCCATGCAAGTATTTTAAGTGAGACACCATGATTCCACTCCAGGGCATTTGGAAAATTTGGAGGTGAGGAACACTTTTATTTGTCACAATGAGTAGGGGCCATGCTGGCATTGCAAGATGATAGACAATCTGCATTATGTACATAGGCTAGTCATGCAGAATTAATAATAATAAGTAATGCAGAACTAAAAATAAAATATCAAGTATTCTTAAAATCTTTTGAACACCCCTGCTAGGTATTCATGTAGGTAATATTCATGCTTACAATCATCTGAGTTTGTACATACATAGACACAAAATATTTGCTGCACTATTTTAGCATTCATTACATTTTTCAAGAATGTAATAATCTTGAAAACTAAGAATAGATTGATATTTGTTTTGTTAATATCTTTACCAGGAACTTCTCACCACTTTGGGAAGTTAATATTACCAATGGCAACACCATGTATGCACTTAATGGTATTTGAGTTGCTAATATAACTCCCCAGCATTAGTCTTCATTTGTAGCTTTTGCTTTATGCATAGAAGCAAGCTTTGACTAGTGTTGTCGTTATAGTTGACTACGTACATATTGAAATACATATTATTTTCTTCTAAATTACCGTCCTTTTATTTATCCATATTAATATAATAATGAGAGCATTAGATTGGTTTTGATTGGGTATATGTGAAGGTAGTTTACATTATTGATACATTTCGTTATAGAATAGTAAAGGAGCATTATATATTTTCAGACATTGGATGAGATAGTGTTTGGAACCACTGGTCAACACAAACAGTTTCATGGCCTTAAAACCCCTCTTTATGCTGAGTATTCAAAAATTTGAATTGAACGCTTAACTTTAAAAATATATCCAGAATCTGACCACTTCTTACCACTCTTACCATCAGCACACCAGTCAAAGCTGTCATCTTCTCTCCGCTGGGTTATTCCAACAGTCTCCTAACTCCATATCCTGTTCTACTCTCATTCTGGTTTCCACAAAGCCATCAGCTTCTGATCGGGATTATCTTTTAAAATGCAAACTAGATCATGTCCCTTCTCAAAACCATCCAGGGCTTGTCCATTTAGCATAAAATCCACATCCTCATCATAGCCCCCAAGGCCCTAGATGATCTTATTCTAGACCACGTTTCTAACCTCATTTTCTAACTAACTACTCTCCCCTGCTGCTACATTACTCTTTGTATTATTCCTCAAATACCAAACATATCCTATTCCAAGAAATTCTGTACTTGCTGTTCACATGGTACAGAATCATTTTATATTCCCTCATGTATTTCTCATGACATGTGCTCTCAAGTCTCAGCTCAGATCTAATCTCATCAGAGATGCCTTTCCTGATTCTATATGCATACTAACCACCATCACTCTCTATGTCTTTGCCTGGTTTTTCTTTTTCCTTATAACATGAATAACTATCTGGCATATTTATTTTTTCATGCATTTGTTGTTTGCATCTCACCATTAGAATGCAAGCTCCATAAGAGCACTGACTTCTTTTTATTTGCTGTTGTATCTTTACCACCTAGAGTAAGGATTAGCACATAGAAGTGCCAATAAATATTTTGCTGAATGAATTATGATACATTTACAATTAAAATTCCTGTTAATATTAGACTCATAATCAAAGATAAGATGTAATCATTTATAAATTCACCACGTTTGCCCAAGTGTGCTTTGTTCATACCTCTACTGTAATATATTTCACGTTACATTATATTATTTCCCAAAGAAGCACCAGCTACTTATCTGTGAGGTACTAAGCTCTAGAGTGAGGAAAATCTCCTGCTATTGTTGCGGGAATTTAGGGACCCCAAATGGAGGAACTGGATGGAGCCGCGGCAGAGGAACATAAATTGTGAAGATTTCATGGATATTTATCAGTTCCCAAATAATACTCTTATAATTTCTTACACCTGTCTTACTTTAATGTCTTAATCCTTATCTTATCTTCGTAAGCTGAGGATCTGTGTCACCTCAGGACCACAACTGTGTTAACTGTACAAATTGATTGTAAAACGTGTGTTTGAACAATATGAAATTAGTGAACCTTGAAAAAGAACAGAATAACAGCGATTTTAGGGAACAAGGGAAGACAACCATAAGGTCTGGCTGCCTGTGGGGTTGGGCAAAATACAGCCATATTTTTCTTCTTTCAGAGAGCCTATAAACAGACGTGCAAGTAGGGAAGATATTGCTGAATTCTTTTCCTGGCAAGGAATATTAATAATTAATACCCTGGGGAAGGAATGCATTCCCTGGGGGAGGTCTATAAATGGCTGCTCTGCGAGAGTCTGTCTTATGCAGTTGAGAAAAGGACTGAAATACGCCCTGGTCTCCTGCAGTACCCTCAGGCTTACTAGGGTGGGGAAAAAACCCATCCTGGTAAATTTGAGGTCAGATCAGTTCTCTGCTCTCAAAACCTGTTTTCTGTTGTTTAAGATGTTTATCAAGACAATACATGCACCGCTGAACATAGACCCTTATCAATAATTCTGCTTTTGCCCTTTGCCTTGTGATCTTTGTTGGACTCTTTATCAGTAGTTTCTGATTTTGCCCTTGTCCTGTTTCCTCAGAAGCATGTGATCTTTGTTCTCCTTTTTGCACTTTGAAGCATGTGATCTTTGTGACCTACTCCCTGTTATTACACACCCCCCCTTTTGAAATCCTTAATAAAAACTTGCTGGTTTTGTGGCTCAGGTGGGCATCACAGTCCTACTGATATCTGATGTCACCCCCAGAGGCCCAGCTGTAAAATTCCTCTCTTTGTACTCTTTCTCTTTATTTCTCAGCCAGCTGACACTTATGGAAAATAGAAAGAACCTACGCTGAAATATTTGAGGCAGGTTCTCCTGATATACTATCGTTCTAATGCCTTGAACTCAGGAACTTAGTAGCAAAAGCACTCACTAAAAGCTTATTGAATAAATGAGTGCATGTCTGCATAAAAGAAGGACCAAAATAATTTAGTGATGACCTCACATGACTTCTCAATACAAACTTCTTGTCTGGGTGCAGTGGCTCACACCTGTAATCCCTGCACTTTGGGAGGCTGAGGAGAGCTGATCACCTGAGGTCAGTAGTTCGGGACCATCCTGGCCAACATGGTGAAACCCATCTCTACTGAAAATACAAAAACTACCCGGGCATGGTGTCAGGCACCAATAGTCCCAGCTACTCGAGAGGCTGAGACAAGAGAATCACCTGAACCCGGGAGGTGGAAGTTGCAGTGAGCAGAGATCATGCCACTGCACTCCAGCCTGGGCGACAGAGCAAGACTCTGTCTCAAAATAATAATAATAATAATAATAATAATAATAATTATAGTGATGATAAATAAATAAATAACATAAATAAATAAATTGACATCAGCAAAAACTTCTTGCCAGCTCCTCTAGGCATAAAAGATGTCTCTTTTGTGCACCACATTCTAAGGTGAAGCCAATTTTCTCTCCACTATCCTCTGCTGATGGCAGCAATGACTCTGTACTTCAGAAAAGACTTCTCCCCACTATCAACTAGCAGTAATCCCTTCAGAAAAGTCCCACTTTAATCCAGTTGATTAAAGTGCTATTCTTGATCATTAGAATAAAGGCTATATGTAGGATTAAATTAAAATGCTAATTTCTTTTCTTTCTTTCTTTTTTTTTTTTGAGACAGATTCTTGCTTTATCATCCAGGCTGGAGTGCAGAGACACGATCATGGCTCACTGCAACCTCAGCCTTCCGGGTTTAAGCGACTCTCCTGCTGGGATTGCAGGTGTGTGCCACCAAGCCTGACTAATTTTTGTATTTTTAGTAGAGATGGGGTTCTGCCATGTTGATCAGGCTGCTCTCAAACTCCTGACCTCAGGTGATCCACCTGCCTTGGCCTCCTAAAGAGCTGGGATTACAGGTGTGAGCTACTGCACCCAGCCTAAAATGCTAATTTCTAAGCACACTGGTACCTGCTACTGTATATCGCTTTCACAAAAACTGACTACTAGGTCTGCTACAATGGCTTATGCCTGTAATCCCAGCACTTTGGGAAGCCAAAATGGGAGGAGGATTCCTTGAGTTCAAGACCAGCCTGGGCAACACAGCAAGACCCTGTGTCTATTTTTTTTAAAGGATTACTTATCTATCTGCTTATATTTGAATTTGAATTACCTTTTTGAATTTGTTACTATGTTTATTTCTCCTTAATTTAAAAAAATTATTGGCAATTGAGGAGAGTTTTCTTTGATCAGTGGTATCTTTGCATAAATTGTTATGCCAGCCGGGTGTGGTTGCTCACTTTTGTAATCCCAGCACTTTGGGAGGCTGAAGTTGGTGAATAGCTTGAGGCCAGGAGTTTGAGACCAGCCTGGCCAACATGGTGAAACCTGTCTCTACTAAAATTACAAAAATTAGCCAGGTATGCTGTTGCATACCTGTAATCCCAGCTACTCAGGAGGCTGAGGCACAAGAATCTCTTGAACCCATAGGTGGAGGTTGCAGTGAGCCAAGACCATGCCACAGCACTCTAGCCTGGGCAACAGAATGAGAGTCTGTCTCAAAAAAAAAAAAAAAAAAAAAGAAAAGAAAGGCTAGGTGTGGTGGCTCACATCCATAATCTCAGGACTTTGGGAGGCCAAGATGAGAGGATCACCTGAGGTCAGGAGCTCGAGACCAGCTGGACCAACATGGAGAAACCCCATCTCTACTAAAAACACAAAATTAGCTGGGCGTGGTGGCACATGCCTGTAATCCCAGCTACTCGGGAGGCCGAAACAGGAGAATCGCTTGAACCCGGGAGGTGGAGGTTGCAGTGAGTTGAGATCGCGCCGCTGCACTCCAGCCTGGGCAACAAGAGCAAAACCCCATCTCAAAAAAAAAAAAAAAATTTAGGCTGCCTAATAATCCCTAACACCACTGTTCGCCAAACAGCCACTAAAAAAGGTAAAAAGTTAAAGACAGAGTAGTTCAAGCAAATAACTAAAAACAATGATTCTAATATATTAAGTGAGAATATTATTTCTCAGGATGTTTCAGGGATTTACAGTATGTAGAATATACCTCATATAGAATCAGATAACTCCAAATCCATTTTGGTTTGGTATCTCTATAAAAATAAATTATGATTTTATACAAACTGCATCAAAGTGGGAAAATATTGATAAAATCTGCAAACGTACCATTCCATAGACCATTATTAATAACGTCACCTCCAGTTGTGATTTTGGATGTATGTTCATTCTTAAGCTGAACTTCAATCTTTCCACCACGAAGTGCAATCAGGAGCCATGCTGAGTGATTGACAGATTCTGCTTACAGTATCATGCCTTCTGAATCATATGTCCAGAAATGAAATTCTGCTGAAAATCTAAACAATGGACAAAGAGAGATCCTTAACAGTGAGAAATACAGAAGGCTCAATGCATTATTCTTTTTTTCTTGTACTGACAAATGGTAACACAGACAAAGAGTCAATTATTTTTTTCTGTTTCTCGAATTAATTAAAGAGAAGGGCAGAATTAAGCTGCTCATGTATTATCTCTGGCTCCATGTATGTTTAAAATTAAGTTATTATATTTTGTTGCTTATTCTTGCAATTTTTTCCCCAGGGAACAGATGCTTTGGTAATTTGTCATCTTTCTTTGGCATATGTTTTGAAAGCACTTTCCAAATGCTGGAATTAATACACAGGTATAAGTATCAGGCATACTATATCTCTCCTGGAGCCTTTTATACACTACATAATCTGACATTAAGAAGTGGTAGTTTTTTGTTTGTTTTTGTTTTTGCTATATCCATAAGTGATCATAAAATGTGCTACAATTTCATTGTTGGTTTATTCATCAAAAGCCATATTTTCCCTATAATTTCACATGTCAGGAATCACTCTTGGAGATCTACAAGATGGCATATGGATGACTGCAGACATCATTAAGCCTTCACATGTGGTAAGAAAGGTAAAATTTAAAAACTTAAAATACATCTATTAGCTTTCCTAAAACTCTAATTGCATAAGTCACTGTAGTAGAATACACATAAGGAAAACTTAAAAGACATAGTCTACCCATGAGTGCTGGCAACATCTGTTGCTATTAAGACTCTAGATATACATGTAGCTATTACAATGGGTGAAAAGTCTTAGGATGCAGGACTTAAAATGACATGTGTTGATTCAGCATCCTTAAAACACTTCAATGAGAATCAGCATTGAAGTTTCCAAGGGACTAGCAAATCCAAATGATTGACGAAAGACAAACAGGGAAAAGGAACGATAGGTGAGTAACTATTAGTCACCTAAGTTAAAATAAAGGTAATTTAAGTTAAAGAGTCTGGACTTCAGATAATTGCTAAATTAGGCAGGACAGAATCCCACATTCTTACCGCAATATAGTATAATAGTAATAGTAATAGAGGCACCATTTGCAATGGAGCACAGATCTCCCTCAAATGGAACAAAGAAAAGGTGACAAAATGAATGTTTTCATCTTTAGAATTCCAAAGAAATACTTAAAAAGAGGTAAAATGTGGAGTAAAGTATGTTGGATGGATAACAATGTAGTAGGAATTTACTGAACTCAGATTATGTGAAAAAGAACAATTTTGCTTGGAATAAGGACTTCTATCCTCTTTCATAATTATCTGGGCATTTTGCTGATGTGAAGCAATATTATCTTGCCAAAATCCAAATCTGTGTATGCTCAAGATCTTCCAGTAGTTGATTCTATTATGGAGATAATTTCCTTTACTTTGTAAAATCAGGCTGAATTCATAGTTTCAAAGGGTCGTGTTCTGCATATTTTGTTTCTGGAATATATCATCAGCATATTGATTCATTACAATGGGGAACAATTCATTCTTTTTCACAAGCATGGTAAAGTGGAAAATAGAGTGAATTTGTTGACATTTACGTAGGGAAAGTATTTGATCATGAGCAACAGACGTAAAGAAATTTGCAAAAATAAATAAAAGCACTAGCTATTCTTTGTGTTGGTCACACAGGGGGCAGTTTATTAAAACTCATCAAGCCGTACATTTAATCTAATGTGTACATTTCGATACATACTTTATATTTCAATGAAAAGTTTAAAATAAATAAATAATAAATTCTGGAAAAAATAATTTGTCCAATTCGGATCCCATGTTAGAGATCAAACTACTGTGAATTGTCAGTGAGAAATGAACAAACTCCTGGAGATTGGCTCCAGGACCTCTGGATGGTATCAATATCCACAGACGCTCAAGTCCCTTATATAAAATGGCATAGTGTTTACGTATAACCTATGCACATCCTCCCAAGTACTTTAAGTCATCTCTACATTATGTATAATACTCAATACAATGTAAATATTATGTAAATAGTTGTCATACTGTATTGTGTCTTATTTGTATTATTGTGTATTGTATTGTCATTGTGTTTTTTTCTGAATATTATCTACCCGAAGTTGGTTAAATCCACAGATGAGGAACTCAAGGATTTGGAGGATCAATTGTATTCCTAAAAGCATTATTTACTACAACAAATATTTTTCTGTCATTCTCATTATTCTCATAGCAGGGAAGGGTTTTCTCCCATCTCTATCATTAGAAGATATTACTTGCTCTGTGATGTTAAAGGAAAAAACCACATATTGGGAGAAATAAAGTGTGGAAGGAGCACAGTTGCTTAAGTATTTATGTAAGTTATTGATCTTAGAATAATTTTCAATGTTTTTAATAATGTCTATGAATTTAGTTGAATTATTTAATGAATAATCATTCATGTATCTAACATTAAATTCTAAACACACATGCTTATTTAATTAAAATATTTTAAAATTTGAACTGTATAATCTGTCTCAAGTATTTTTCCTTCTCATTATTCCAAAAAAAAAAATCCAATTTCTTTCTTTTACTTCCAACAATGTATGCTTCTGAGAAAATCTGATAACTAAAGTACAATTATGGCAGATCACCTGAGATGATCACCTGAGGTCAGGAGTTTGAGATCACCCTGGGCAACGTGGTAAAACTCTGTCTCTACTAAAAATACAAAAAGTAGCTGGGTGTGGTGGCTCACGCCTGTAGTCCTAGCTACTCAGGAGGCTGAAGCAGGAGAATTGCTTGACCTGGGAGGCGAAGGTTGCAGTGAGACAAGATTGTGCCACTGCACTCCAGCCTGGGCAACAGAGCAAGACTCTGTATCAAAAATAAATAAATAAAATAAAATAAAAATTGGATCATAAACATTGCTATAAAAAAATAAGGTAGAATCATGACTAAAAAAATAAGCAATTACTTCATTTCTTAACTCAATCTAACTATGATAATAATGGATAAAGTATTTAGATAGCCAACTAAAATTATGTAATGTATGTCTTTAAAATGCCACTTAAGCAAGTTTAAATTTTTTCCTTAATAATTTTGAATATAATGATATTCTAAAAGCAATGCTGAGTATTTTTTATTACCTAGTTTTCATAACATGTGTAAAGAATAATGGAAATTTCACAAGTACATTAAATCTACTTTCCCAGCTTCTTAGTAAATATGCATTTTCTACAAAAGGAATAATATGGAATAATGTAAAATGTTCATTGGGGAAAGTCAGCCTAGAATGACTCAAAAAGGTTTTAGCATGAAAATTACATGTGTGAAGGAGTAAATTAACTTTAGGTTTCCCCAAGTCATCTGATTGGTAATATGACTACATTATCTGATAGGTAATACAATTTCACACACTTCAAACCTTTTCGGCCACTTTTCTTCTGCCCTTATCTGCTTAACCTCTAGAAATTATCATTGGTATTGGTTCCTCACCTGCTGATTTCTGGCAAATGAAATTTTAAATATAAAACAACCCCTGAAAACTGCTCTGTCAAGTAAAGTAATTCATACTGTGTGTCAAGGTTCAAGGGAAGGCACACTGAAACAACCTGGAGTAAAAGAAACCAAATAAACTACAAGAAAATCAAAATGCATAGGTTATTGCTTAATGTTTGTGTGAGGTCATGTATTCTTGTTTGGTTACTAATGTATCATCTGTAATACACTAAAATAATTAAGAATATTTTTGGTAATAATAAAGACATATCTTCCATTTCCTTGTATAGTCTATCTATCAGTATAACCTCCAAGAATACGTGTGTTTTAAAGTCTCGTTCAATGTGCATGGCTTTCGATCTTTGTCTTTAATACTTCCTTTGCAAATTTTCGTCCTAAACACAAACTCTTTCTTCAAGAACCAATATATATTTCTTTAATTAACAGTCAGGTGTAATATCTCCCATGAATTATGTCTGAAAATTATTTTTATTTGAAGTCAGAAATAGGTGTAAGAATTAATGTACCAATAAACAGCACCTCATTCATTCACTCATTCATTTATTAAGCAAAAGTTTTCTGAGCAAGAATGTGCTATCTAGATAGTAAAGGGAATACTGGAAAACATGAAGGAAATAAATATAAATTAAGGTCTCATAGTCTCCAAGGAATTTACAAGAAGATTATTTAAAGTGATCACATATGGTATCAAGTGTTTTTTTCTACGAGTGAAAACAAACATTAAAATGAAAAGCTTTAAACATATAAATTATTGAGCACCTATGAGGATATTTTAAGGAGAACTACGTACATAGCACTGTATTAAGTATAGGCCCAGAAATAATATTTTATTTCCCCTTAAAACTTTAATAAGTCTATTTCAAGGCAGACGGTGATATGTAACTACACCAAATAGTTACACCAAATGATAAAGGACTAAAGTACAAGATAGATGTTCACACAGCATGGCATTTCAATTAAGTAGTACCATACCAAAATTACTACACGCGGCAATTAGCTTATTACCAAGTAGGTTGCACATGATTGAATGTGACATTTTTCTGGACACATACAGCTTTGTCTTGGCAACAGATATAGAGGTATGTGTGTACACTTAGTTAAATCATTATTTAGGCATTTTTTTGTGGTCTGCCTCATAATTATATATAATTTTACCTTCACTTGTCAAAAAAATATGCAGGAAAAAAAAGAGCTCAGATGGTGACATTTATTTCAATGAAGTAAAAATGAGCACCTACCCCCAATATTCAATTCCTGGGTCAATTATGCATTAAATCTAAGTAACTAAAAGCAAGTTTGAGAGACACAGATTAAGAAATCAACCTCTCTGAATTATGATATACTTAACCCCACTAAATCCTAGAAATGGTTAAAAGGGTACATTAAAACTGCACTTGTACCCTCTGAAACTTTATGAGCACTTTATAAACCTTAAAATGCCTAAGGCATGATCAAACTAGTCAGAGTGGAATCCAGAAAAGTAGACACTGGAAAATGTTTTCACCGAAGTTTCTGTGGGAGAATTTTTCACAATGAGGGCTATTAAACTCAGCTTTTCTTGATTTCTTAAGTAAACATACAAGTTGTATTTTATAAATGTACAGGCTACAGATAAGTACTCTCTAAACTGTGACTCTATACTCTTTTTTTTAAACCCAGTCACTAATTATCCCCAATGTTTATTACTTACATGACCATAATTAGTAAATAATAATGACTCATAACCTGCTTAAAGCTCAGCAATTATTGTAGAACGACTGTATTTTCCTGACCTAACTCAGCTATGTGAAAATAAGTATCTAGGATCTCTCATTTTAGAAAACGGTGAGAAGTTAAGCTTTGTAAAATGTTTACCTCACAACTCTTCTGATCTTGGGCAAGTTTGAATCCTTTCTTCCCATCACAGTAGCAAGTGTAACCTCCAGGGTAATTGACACAAAGCTGAGCACACATGTTCTCAGAGCGTTCATCTATATCTGAGGTAAACACGCGCGCACACACACACACACACACACACAAACTTTAATATCTCCTAAATGTTCAATCTTATAGGCACAGGAATATTATGATTGTAGTATGATATAATCAATGATAATCAAGCCTTAGGGAAAGAAATACTATGACATCAAACTACATTTAAATATAATACTTAACATGGAAATTTAAACGACTTACAAGTATAATTTTTATTTATTTACATATTTGAAACAAAAATTAATTTATGACTTTCAGTGATTAAGTAAAGTATAACAATTCTACCAAATTTCTCATTTTGAATTTGAAGGAAAAAAAGATTGAGAATCTCAACCTAACTGTCATTTCTGATTATTTGAATCCCATTGAGATTACCTCACAATTCATTGCTTTGAAAAAAAGAAAAAAGAAATGAGAAGGGGAAGAGGAAGGGAGAGGATGATGGGGAAGTAAAGGAAAGGAAACGTAGGGAAGGGAAGGGAAGAAAAGACCCCTTTAACTGAAGGTTGATACAATCAGGAATTAAATGACAATATCAAGAACATTGGAACCCTCATAATGCCATAATTAATGGTGCCAGTGAATTTAGGGAAATATCTTTCTGTTTTTTTTTTCCAAATAAAAACCTCACTGTGATGTAATCTCCCATATTATGAAATCTTCTACATGGTCCCTGTCCCTACTCCATACTTTAAGAAAATCATTCTTGGAAATTTATAATATTATGTTGAAGCAAACATCTATCTCAGAGTTATATAAGATCATTGACATTTTCATTGGATATGCCCTATGACCTTTAAAACTCCACAAGTTCATAAATGCTATTATTGATTATGTTCTCATAAAATAATTTAAAATAGATTCCCAAAATTAATAATCCTTAGCATTAAAATGGCTTATTATTAAAGTTATAGATAGATAGAGTCATATATAAATCTTTTTAAAAAATATGTCATTCATTAAATAAAACTACAGTACAGGTGATGAAGTTGGCTAATGATAAATCTTGCAGACATCTAGAGTTTTCCACAGTAATTTCTATCTGCAATGGTGGGAAAGGAGAAATGTGTGTGTGGGGGGCAGGGGAATATTTTTGGTGAGTGCAAAAGGAGATGATAGGACATCAAAATCTCAAAAACAGCATACGTAGTTAAAAAATATATTGTAAAATTATTATTGATTTAGGCAACTTCATAGAGACAGAAAACAAGATTACAGGTTACCGCCATCAAGGTAACTAATAAAAGAAAACTCACTGCTTAATGGTTACTACTTAAAAGTTTCTGTTGGGGCTGAAGAAAAACTTTGGAAATACCATTGATGGCTGCATAAAGGCATGAATGTAATTAATGCCACTGAATTGTACATTTAAAAATGGTTAAAAGAGTACATTAAAACTGTACTTGTACCCCCTAAATCTATTTTTAAAAGGTACATTATACATGTGTGTGAATATACAAACACACACACACACACACACACACACACACACACACACATATATATATATATATATATATATATACAGCCACAATAGAAAAATTAGTATTAATTAGTTCCAGCCATGGCATTAAATCTGTTTTAAAATTTTAAGAAATCGAAAGGAAGGTATGAGATAATCTGTATATCATAATAAACAAACCTACAAACAAACAACTATAATATATTGAAGCTTCCTGAGGCACACAGGGCAGTGCCACTGCAGTCACATGAAGTAATAGCACCTTCAAGGGGTTGCCCCAAACCCACAGGCTCTGACATTACTGATCAATACTTCTTAAATTTCTAAAGTATTGTTATCATTTCTTTATCATGAGATAATAGAACTGTGTCATTTTTTATTTTAGAATAAATGATTTATTTATATATGCACAGAAAAATCACTGAAAAGCTTGGAATAAAAACTAAAGTTTTAACCATGCTCATTGTCTCACTCAGATGATTTCTAAGCTTGTGTCTTTCTTTTCTATCATCTATTGTTTTTCCTTCCAAAGTGAAATTCTCTTTATCTTTGAATATGATGTAAATGACGTGAAAATATGTTTATCTTGTTTTTATCACACATGGAGGTCTCCAATTCATAGGTAGCTCAAAGGGCCAATTGGCGTGCATAACACTAAACTTAAAGAGCATATACCTTACATACTCTTACTCTGGAAGGAAGGAAGCCAATGATCACCCAATTGAACAAGCTATATTAGGGATAAGAAAATATGACTGTTGATGTCAAACAAAACCAATGCTTTTAAATACCATTTCAGGGTTCACACCCAACCTCTCCACCATCAGTAATGACACCACCATCATTCTACCTTCACAAGACTTTGATTTGAGATTATATCTGTAGCCTTCAGGGCATTCACATTCAAAATCTCCTGGGATGTTCTTGCACACAGCTGTGCCACAAATGCTTGGCTTCAAAGAGCATTCATCCACATCTATAAATAAAATCACTATATTAAAAACATTTTTCCCATACCAGCAGACACTAGCAAAGAACTCTTGATTTTTGTTTCCTGGATCTAGTTTACTGTATGTAATGAGATAACAGATTGGCCTTCGGACAAAAAAAAAAACATTAAATCTATCATCATATGTTAGTTCACTAAATATGATTTCTTTCTACAAATGCACAGGGAATTTGATTGATGTTTGCCATGTTCCTTTCTAGTTATGTTAAGGAGAAAGCTTTAGAAATTTTCTTATTTGCCAGGTTGTGGTATGACAATAAATGGAAGTCTTGGAAACAGATTCACTGCATATTATCACAAGTATTTTTTTTGTAGATGGGATGGCTCATCTATTTGATCTTGTTTCTTTGGAAAAGAACAAATATCTAATTTATACACTACTATTGTTGTCTAAAGTAGACAATAGTGATTCAAATTTAAAATAAGATTAAAGTCTCTAAGTACTTATAAATCTGTAGTTAATCCAATATGAATTTAGTGCTAAATGGATATTCCAGAAATTTCAGATGCACATATTATATTGTGAAATTAAGAAGGAGACAACATATTGATAGTAACTAGTTACTAGATGAGGACCTGTGAAGAAAACAAAACATGTGACAGAAATAGTTCAACGGAGATGGAATTATTAGTGAACCCTTCTGTGTACTCTCTGGAGAAAGACAAATTCAGAACAGAAAATATGTTTTCTATTCTAAAAGTTGACAGCTTTTTTTCCAGATTAATCATCAAAATTTAGGATATTATTTAAAATAACTTGCACAAAAATAATAAAACCAGTTCCCTTGTAGGAATTTTTCTATATTTTCACTGTATCATTGTCAATGTCTTGAGTGTGAAATTGTACTACCATTTTGTAAAATGTTACCTTTAAGGGAAAACGGGGTAAAGGGTACATAGCATCTCTCTGTATTACTTCTTACAACTTCATGTGAATCTTTAATTCAAAGTAAAATATCCAATTTTTTAAAAAGAGCTAAAAACTCTATGTTTTTGAAATAAAGTAAGCCTGAGCAACAGTGGGACACTGTCTCTACAAAGTTTTTTTTTTCTTAAATTAGCCAGGAGTGGGCCGGGCATGGCGGCAGTGCTATAATCCTAGCACTTTGGGAAGCAAAGTGTTCGAGACCAGCCTGAGCAACATGGTGGAACACCACTTCTATATATTGAAAAAAAAAAAAAGCAAAAGAGAAAAACATTAGCCAGGAGTGGTGGCATGTGTTCTTGTTACTAAGGAAGATAAGGCAAGAGGATTACTTGAACCCAGAAGCTGGAGTGCCTTGAACTATGATTGCACCACTCCACTCCATCCTGGGCAACAGCGGGAGACCCTGTCACTAAATAAATAAATAATAAAATATAATAAAATCAGTAAAAATATGTCAATAAGTGTATTTGGTTTGAGGCATATTTCAGGGAATTATTTAGATCATACAAGTTTAAGTTACAGTGCATTGGTTTTATGACTCCACACTGACATCTAATGTTTGATTGAAAGGTTTTATGCTTTCAGCTGGGCACAGTGGCTCATGTCTGTAATCCCAGCACTTTGGAAGGCCAAGGCAGGCAGATCACTTGAGCTCAGGCGTTCAAGACCAGCCTGGTCAACATGGCAAAACCCCGTCTTTACCGAAAAATACAAAATTAGACAGGCGTGGTGGCGTGCGTCTGTGGTCCCAGCTACTCGGGAGGCAGAGGCAAGAGAATCACTTGAATCCGGGAAACAGAGGTTGTAGTGAGTCAAGCTCACACTACATTCCAGCCTGGGCATCATAGCGAGACTCTGTCTCAAAAAAAAAAAAAAAAAAAAAAAAAAAAAGAAGAAGAAGAAGAAGAAGAAAGAAAAAAGAAGAAAGAAGAAGAAGAAAGAGAAAAGTTTTATTTATTCTTTCATCTTTAGACAGTTACTGGCAACTGGATCCCAACCATTTCTACATCTTGGCAAACGTCCCATTGTAATAGTTTTTTTTTTTTTTTTCTTTATTAGACGGAGTCTCCCTCTGTTGTCCAGGCTAAAGCGCAGTGGCGCGATCTCGGCTCACCGGAAGCTCCGCCTCCCGGGTTCACGCCATTCTCCTGCTTCAGCCTCCAGAGTAGCTGGGACTGCAGGCGCCCGCCACCACACCCAGCTAATTTTTTGTACTTTTAGTAGAGACCGGGTTTCACCGTGTTAGCCAGGATGATCTCGATCTCCTGACCTCCTGATCCACCCGCCTCGGCCTCCCGAAGTGCTGGGATTACAGGCGTGAGCCACCGCGCCTGGCTGTAATCGATTTTTATATATTCTTCTATCTGTTTTCTACGCTATTACTTACATATCATGGGTAAACAATAATGCAAATGAATATAAGGACAGATGTGGTCATCAGGAACATTCCTATTAATAAGAGCACTTTTGTAATCATTTACACATATATATGTGTATTAACTGAGTGGATAAGAATTAAATACTTTTTAGTTTTTAAAAAGTCACAAATTTAGCCACGTGTGGTGACTCATGCCTGTAATCCCATGACCTTGTGAGGTTGAATTGGATGGATGGCTTCAACCCAAGAATTTGAGACCAGCCTGGACAATATGAGAAAACTCCATCTGTATCTGTACAAAAGCTACAAACATTAGCCAGGCATGGTGGTGCACGCCTGTAGTCCCAGCTACTTGGGAGGCTGAGGTGAGAGGACCTCCCAGGAGGTTGAGGCTGTAGTGAGTTGAGATCGTTCCACTGCACTCCAGCCTAGGTGACAGAGCGAAACCCTGTCTATCTTAAAAAAACAATAAAAACACAAATTCTTTAGAAAGAGACTATGAGAGTATTTAAGAGTAGAAGTATGAATGGGTACTATTTGTTTACAAAATGCAGATGGTATCCAGCATTGTGATGGTTTTTCTATCACTCATGTTCTAATGACAGTCTTATTCTAAGCAGTATCAGAATCCAAACTCAGACCTTCAAATAGGCAGATAAGAAACATACATGGTCACAAATTGGATAACTGTTTAGAAGAATTTGTTGTTGATGTAGTTCACTTTAGAGTCATTTAACTGCAGTTTAAATAACATTATAGTACATTTTATCATACTAAACACTGCTATTCAGTAAGAGATAGACGATTTGAACATGAATCCAATTTAGGGCTTTATCAAAACATATATAAAATAAAGAGTTGAACAAGAAATTCACATTTTAACTTATTTTTTTTTTTTAACATTTTAGCAAAAAAAAAAAAAAAAAAAGTAGTGGAGGAGAGAACTTGGATATTAATTGTATCCAGTTTCTAAAGACAAATTTTAAGTCCAGGTGGGAAATTTCGTTTTTAGTCATCCATACACCTGGTATGAACACTTGAAGATTTAGTCATAGCATTAACACAGGCAAACTGAAAGACAGTATACAGAGAGAAAAAAAGTCAAAATTTAGGGATAGGAAAACAATGAAAAACAAAAGAAATGCACTAGTAAAATGACTTGTTAGAAAACTAAACTAACAGGGAATATTTAAGTCTGAAGGAGAAAAAGGAGTTATGACCAATGATATGATCTTAAAGGTATAAAGAGAAAGAAAACTAGATCTTTTACTTTCCCAAAACCACAGCAGGAAATGAGGTGCCAGATGAAGAGTTGATGTTGGAAATCAGAAAAGTATTTCTGAAAAGGAAAAATAAAATACAATGGAAGAAGTTATTGCAGTGGATTTCTTTCTATGGCTATTTATCTTACTAGAAGAAAATAAAAAATATAACGTCTGAAAACAAAGGATAAACAATTATTTTGCAAAGTTTGTAGCATGCAAAGACTTGCATTGAAACGTCACTTTATAATAAAATTCCTTATTGAAACATGCACACAAGTCTGTACATGCACATATAATAAGAAAATTTTAAAAAATCGTGTTATCAGTACTGTAAACTAAAATGCAGGTCAGGCACAGAGCTCCCACCTGTAAACCCAGCACTTTGGGAGGCTGAGGCAGGAGGCTCACTTGAGTTCAAGATCAGTTTGGGCAACATGATGGAACCCCATCTCTACAAAAAATACAAAACAAAACTAGCTGGGCATGGTGGCATGCACTTGCAGCCCCAGCTACTTCGGAGGCTGAAGTCAGAGGATCAATTAAGCTCGGGAGGTAAAGGCTACAGTGAGCCATGATGGAGCCACTCCACTCCAGCCTGGGAGACAGAGTGAGACCCTATCTCTCAAAAACAAACAAAATCTAAAAAGCAGTTCCACAATATCACAAGGCTTCAATGTTGATAAAAATGTGTTAGTATAAGCACTTACAATCATTTTTCTAAAAATTTGCTAGTAAAATTTCTCTAACTGGGATTATTCTCACACAGTAAATGTGTTTTAATTCTACCATCCTGCTCTTACCTTTACAGTCTTTCTTATTTGAAAGCATAACAAAACCACTTTTACAGGAACAGTGGTAACTTCCAGGTGTATTATCACAAATTTGACTGCAACCTCCATTTATATTTGAGGGATCTTTGCGTTCATTTATGTCTAAAACAGGAAAAAAATAAATTATTTTTAAAGTAATATAACCAGCAGAGAACTTTTCAGGAGACCAATCCTGATGAGCTGGGGGGCAGGGGTTACTATACATACCAAATTCACACTTTTCTCCTTGCCAACCTGGTTTACAAATGCAAGTAAAAGAAGCTTTTCCTTCTTTGCAACTCATATATCCATCTGCATTGCATGGCAGAGGACTACATTGGTCTGGAATGGCTGAAGGAAATAGACATCTATTTATTTTTTTTACCTAATGTCATGGTAAAATAAAATTGTGTGCACTATAATAAAAATCCTGAAGTCTAGAACCAATGAAAAAAAAAAAAAAAACACAACTCCTTCTTTTAAATAATACTTTTCTTAAATTAAAAAGTGAGCCCATTAGGCAAATATTTATAATTATTTTGTAAAAGTAAACTACAGATGGCAGCAGTGGCCCATCTACAGTGGCCGCTGCCAAGATGCCTGCTGCAGCGGGGAGGTGGGCCAGGGCCTCCCACTCCATGGAGCAAGTAGGAGTCCCACACTCCTCGGATGCTGCTGCAGCTTCCCTGTCATGGCTCCGGACCTGGGTGTCTCTGTGCTCTTGGGGTCCTGCTCCTGCTGCCAGGCTTCTCCCCACAGCAGGCATCCACTCTGATCTTAGAGGCATGGCTGGGGCTACACATGCCCCAGAGCTGGTGAAAACCAAGGACAAGGGGGAGCCCCACCCCTTTCAAACTGGTGGGACAAGAGTGCCCTGAGTGCAGCTGCAGCTGCCCAAGCCTGGCTGGAAACCTGGGCATCTCTGTGCTCTTGAGGGCCTGGGAAAGCCCATTCTGCCCACCACAGGCTCAGCAGTGCCTGCTCTTGCTTCCTGGCCTCTCCTCACTCCTGGCACCCACTCTGGTCATGGAGCAAGGTTGGAGCTGAAGCCAGCTGCTCTTGCAGCCAGGCCGGGTGGGCATAGGTTCAGGGCAGTGCTAACATGCCAGCCCCTGCCCCCTCCAGTCTTTGGGCTCCAACAAGCATGGGAAGGGAGCTGAGGGCGGTGCTGAGGGCAGCTCAGTGTTGGCCTGCAGGCACCCCCTCGGCACAAACAGGCTGGGTGCCATGAACAGTGGCAGGAGGTAGACAGCTTCCTAGGTGGAAAAGGGTGGGTCCCTGTGAAGTCCCACCTTCAGGCTGGGGAAGGCCTGGGGCCTGTGGGCTGGGCTGTCAGTCCTGCTGACTGAAAGGGGAACACTTGGTGCTTTTTCCTGGGCCCACCCATGGCAGCCCATGGACCAGTCAGCATGTACTTTCCTCCTCTGAAGACCATAAAAATGAAGACCATAAAAACTCTAGACTCAGCCAGAGCACAACAGATATCCAGACAACCAGCTGCAGAAAGGAGCTATTATCTCCAGGGCCTCCTCTGTACTGGGAGTTGCAGACATCGAATGACCTGTCTGCAGAGAACCACCCTCTCCAGGCCCTCCTCTGCTGAGAGCTGCTGATGGGACAACCAGCTGCAGAGAGCAGCCACCCACTCTAGGCCTCCTCTCTACTGAGAGCTGCAGAGACAATGGGATGACCTGGCTTCAAGTCCTCCTGTTTGCTGAGAGCTGAACACTTGATGGGACAACCTGCCTACAGAGATGAGCTACCCACTGAGGGTCTCCTCTGAGCTGTTCTAATGCTCAGTAAAGCTCCTATTCATCTTGCTCACCCTCCACTTTTCTGCATATCTCATTCTTCATGGATCCAGGACAAGAACTCAGGCAAAGGCACCACCAGCCACAGAAGTTTCCAGCCAGAAAAGCAACACCCCAAAGATCCCATAACACTTCTTTTGCATTGAAAGTATATATAGTATTTCATAGTTGTAATTTAGATATTTTTCCAAATATATTACCTCATTTGAGCCTTAGAACAATTCCATAAGGTAGACAGAACAATACTATTCTCAACATTAAGAGAAAAAAGAGGCTAGGCATGATGGCTCACACCTGTAATCCCAGCACTTTGGGAGACCAAGGCAGGCAGATCACTTGAGGCCTGGACAACAAGGTGAAACCCTGTCTTTACTAAAAATACAAAACTTAGCTGGGTATAGTGGCACACTCCTGTAGTCCCAGCTACTCGGGAATCTAAAGTACAAGAATTGTTGAACCTGGGAGGCAGAAGCTGCAGCAAGCCGAGATCATGCCACTGCAATACAGCAAGGCTTTCTCTCAAAAAAAAAAAAAAAAAAAAAAGAAAGAAAAAGTAAAAAGAAAACTTTCAATTTGGGCTAAGATGATGTAACAAGGAACAGATTTATCTTCCTGCCTTAAATAAGTAGAGATTCAATCTAACTATGTAAAATAATGGTTTTTCAAACATTGGAGAACAGGAAGGAGAACACTGTGATTCCTAAGGAAAAGAAAATGAACAAGCTGAGACCTACAATTGGACCACATTACTGCCTGGAGATAGCTTCTATGCAACAGTACAAGAAACACAAACAGATCCCAGTGGTCTCCCTGGGTTGAGAAAACAAATATTGGAGTTTGGGGAGATCAAATTAGAATTTTGCTGGTCAGAGTACCATAAAGGAAGAGAAAGGGAAAAATGTGTGTGTATGGAAAGAGAGAGAGAAAGAGAGATAGAGGAAAAGAGAAAGACAGTCTCCAGAGATCTGCAAAATGATCCCCTAGGGTCTTTGGCTGAATGATGATTTACACAGGAAAATTTCCAGAGCTCATAGAGGGATAGAGATAGTTTGTTTTAGACTGCCCAGACCTAAAATATTTCATAGTACAAAGGGCATCAGGTAGAATCCTCACAAGGATATAGACTTATTATTGAGGCTAAATTAGTTTTAAGCTAATGGCTACTCGAGATTGCCTTAACAGAGCTTAAAATCAAACCTCAAAACATTTGTTTTTAATGTATTTCACATAAGTTACCTAAATGCCACAACAAAATCCAACACTATTTGGAAGAAGACAAGAAAATCCAGGACCCAGTAACATAAGCTGTAAGCTTATTTTCTTTTCCTTAGGAGTCACAGTGTTCTGCTTCCTGTTCTCCACTGTTCAAAACCATTATTTTATATACTTAGACCAAAGTTCTACTTATTTAAGGCAGGAGGATAAACTTGGTCCCTATTACATCATCTTAGCCCAAATTGAAAATTCCAAGTTCTTTTTTCTATTTATACTGAGAATAGTATTGTTTGCTTGGTCCAGTAAACAATTAAAAATAAGTAGAGGTCAGATGCAGTGGTTCACTCTGCACTATGGGAGGCAGAGGAGGGAGGACACTTGAGGCCAGGAGTTAAGACCAGCTTGGGCAACATAGCGAGATGTAATCTTTAAAATTAATTTAAAGAATAAATTCCCCAGCTGTGGTTGGGGGAACATGCCTGTTGTCCCAGCCATTTGAGGGGCTAAGGGAGGGGGATAGCTTGAGTCAAGGAGTTTGAAGTTACTGTGAGGTATGATCACACCACTGGACCCCAGCCTCGGTAACGGTGATACCTTATATCCAAATAAAATAAAATACAATATAAAATTAAGTTAAAAAATAAATAGGCATGTAAAGAAACAAGAAAAACCTAATTTATAACCAAGAGAAAAGTCAATAGGTGAAAATATATCCAAAATGAAAGAGATGACCAAAAATCAGAAAAATAAATAAATAAAATTATTCTAAATGCCCTCCACATGTTCCAGTAGTAAATATAGGCATGATGAAAAAAATAAAATAAAATAGAAGATGTGGAACAGACCCAAATGGAACTTATTGAAATGAAAAATGAACTATATAAAAAGAAAAATACACTAAATGGGATTAAAAGTAAATTATACATGAGAGGAGAAAAGAAGAGTGAACTTGAAGACATAAAAACTATCCAAAATCAAGGAAGTACAGATAAGAAGTATAAAAACAACAAATACATAAATAAATTGATAAATAACTAGAGCATGAATGACTTGTTAAACAATATGAAATCGCCTAATACATGTTATTGACATTTAAGAGAAGAGGAAAGATAGCAGGGAAAAAGAAAAAAGAAATATGAATAAATAATAGTAAATCGTTTTCTAAATTTGATGAAAACTATGAACACACAGATCCAAGAAGCCCACTAAACATCAATCAGGATAAACCTAAAAATACTATGTCAAATTAGAGAACACCAGGGAAAAACAGAAATCTAAAACACAGTGCATACATAGAGAAAAAAAAAAGCTAAGAATAACAGCAGATTTCCCATCAGCATCTATTCAAGTGAAAGGACAATAGAGAGACATCTTTGACATACTGACAGAACACTATCAACATGGAAGTCTTTACCCAATAAAAATATCTCCCCAAAATAAAGGCAATATACTATTTTTTAATTAAAAAATATGAGAAAGGCTGGGCGCGGTGGCTCATGCCTGTAATCCCAGCACTTTGGGAGGGCGAGGGAGTCGGATCACAAGGTCAGGAGATCGAGACTATCCTGGCTAACATGGTGAAACCCCATCTCTACTAAAAATACAAAAAACTAGCCAGGTATGGTGGCAGGCACCTGTAGTCCCAGCTACTCGGGGGGCTGAGGAAGGAGAATGGCATGAACCTGGGAGACGGAGCTTGCAGTGAGCCAAGATTGTGCCACTGCACTGCAGCCTGGGTGGCAGAGCAAGACTCTCTCTCTCAAGAAAAAAAGAGAAAATCCATCTTCATCAGATATGTAGCTTAAGAAATGTTAAAGGAATTTCTTCAGGCAGAAGGAACATGTTGTCAGATGGAAATGTAGATCTACAAAAAAGAATATGGAATGCCAGAAATGATAAACATAAGAGAAAATACAGAACAATGTTTTCTGGGCCAGGTGCCAATGGCTCATGCCTGTAATCCTAGCACTTTGGGAGGCCAAGGTGGGTGGATCACTTGAGGCCAGGAATTTGAGACCAGCCTAGGCAAGATGGCAAAACCCTGTCTCCACAAAAATACAAAAAATTAGCCAGGCCTAGAATCCCAGCTTCTTGGGAGGCTGAGGCACAAGAAGGATTTGAATCCATCAGACAGAGGTTGCAATGAGCTGAGATTGTGCCACTGCACTCCAGCTTAGATGACAGCATGAGACTCTGTATCAAAAATAAATAAATGAATGAATAAATAAACAAATAAATAAATACATAAATAAAACAATATTTTCTCATTTGATAAGCTATTTATAAATTAACATATCATGGAGTTTATAATGTATAATATTAAAATGTAAGGCAGAAACAGCACAAAAAAATAGAGGAAATGAGGCCTGGCACAGTGGCTCATGCCTGTAATCCCAGGACTTTGGAAGGCCAAGGCAAAAAGATCACTTGAAGCCAGGATTTGTAGCTAGGTGACAAAGTGAGACCCTATCTCTACAAACAAATTTAAAAATTAGCTGGACATGGTGCTACATGCCTGTAGTCCTAGCTACTAAGAAGGCTGAGGCAGAAGGGAAGAAGGATTTGAGACCAGGAGTTCAAGGTTGCAGTGAGCTATGATCACCCCACCACACTCCAGCCTGGGATAGAGGGTGAGATCCTGACTGAAAAAAAAAAGAAAGAAAGAAAAGAAAAGAAATGAGTAAAAGAAGTTTGAGAAGCATAATTAATAACAGAGGAGATAAAATGGAATCAACTCCCCCCCACCGCAAAGAAAAACTCAATTAATCAATACAATTGCAGTAAGAAAAGAAAAAAAAAAAAAAGCAAAGAACAGATGGGATTAACAGACTTTAGCCATCATCAATGGTAACATTAAATGTAAATGTCTACAGTCTAACACTCCAATTAAAAGACAGAGATTGTCGGATTGGAGAAAACAGCAAGACCTAAAGAAACTCACTTGAAATACAAACACACTGGTATGTTCAAAGTTAATGGATGGAAAAGTAAATCATAAAAACACTAATCAAAAGAAAGCCAGTGACAATATTAATATAAGATAGATTTTAGAATAAGGAATATTACCAGAGAAAAAAGCAATATTAAGAAGTACAAAGTAAGGCCTGGAATGGTGTTTCATGCCTGTAATCCTAGCACTTTGGGAGGCCCAGGTAGGAAGATTGCTTGAGGCCAGGAGTCTGAGACCAGCCTGGACAACACACCCAAGACCCCATCTCTATGAAAAATAAATTAGCAAGGAGTAATGATATGTGCCTATAGTTCCAGCTACTCAGGCAGCTGAGGCAGGAGGATTGCTTGAACCTAGGAGGTTGAGGCTGCAGTGAGCCATGATTGCACCACTGCACTCCAGCCTGGTCAACAGAGCAAGAGCTTGTCTAAAAAAAAAGATAAAGTACAAGTAAAGATCAATTATAGTACCTTGTTTATTTTCTTCCTAAAATATCAAAGCACTTTATCAATATGGCAAAAGACATGCCTTTTTTTTTTTATTTGTAATTTCTGTCCCCTCGTTAGATACTGCAATAGTCCCTTGGTTTCTGCACATTTCCACACCAGCTTCTCAACTTCCCAGTCAACTGTACATGTTCTTCCCATCCTTCCGATACTTCCAATACTCCCAATACTGCCAATATTTCTATCTCTTTGCATATGTTAGCCAAAGACAATTTTTGTTGTTAAATAAATAAATAACCAACCTAGCTAATGCCTAATTAATTCCACAATTTTTTTAAAAAGTCTTCATCAGATCAAGTTTTTTTGAGATGTGGCAATACTTAGGTATTAGTTAAAAATCATAGAAAAGAAACTAATAGAAAAATTTTATCAAAATTATTATTCTTCTGTTCTTTGGTAAATTTTAAGAAAAGATAAAGCATGAATTAAATAATTAAATATACGTGTTCAGACAAACTATTCTATCTGTGTAATTACAAGCACTTTAAATTAGAGAAAAACACAGTTAAATGAATATCTAGAGAATGTAAATTCTGGGTGCAAAATATTCTCTGAACAAACATCACAATTTATATCTTGCAGTTGCACCATTTGCTTTTACTAATTTACCAATTTTCCAACAAAGAGTCAAAAATAATGTACCAGAATTATCATTAGGCCCCTTGTGAACTTCAGAGCAAGAAAGCTAATTTGATTGATGTAACATTTTCCACTTTTATATTATCAGTGCCAAAAAGTTAGAAGAATAAACATGGCTCTACTCTGAGCTATTAATCTACTTTAACATTTAGTCACACTACATGATTATGCAACAACAGCCAAAATGAAACTGTTGGGAATAAAAATTCCGAAGCTGATGACCTAAAGCTTACTAAACAGAGAACACTGTTCAGTTTACACATTAGGCAAAAAAATTCATTTTGAGTAATACAGCAGCATTTACAACTATAAACAAGTATTTTAAATGTAGTCTGAAAATACTTCCTTGTTGGGCATACAACCCATCAAAGGATCATTTCTCAATTTTTAAACATTAGTTTATATTAGCATGGGTGTACGTTACCTACAGAGTTTTTATTTTGTTTTTTCAGTTGATGGTAGAAGTGCTTACCATTGACACAGCTTCTTAGGTCAGGATAAGCATTAGTTGACTAATGTGCAGCAGTGAATAACCCAGTTTGAAAAGAGAGAAGACACACTGAAAATAAAAACGAACATAATCTTCTTGCAGTAGACACATATACTTGATCTGAATTCATGGTAGGAACTGTCCCAAGAGGTAGGATATTTATGCTCCTGTGGATTCACAAGATTCAGTCTTCAAAATGCAACACTAAATGTTTCCATCTACCTTTCTGAAAAATTAAAAATCTACAAGCAAGACGGCAACAGATACAGAATCATAAAAAATAGGTCTGTGACAGCTTCTTCTCTCTGGAGAAGAACCTTAAAGTCAGAAGTGAAAAAAACCTTGGTTTAGCACAGAAATTTATTGTCATATAAGTCTATGTTTTTAATTCCATAGAGAAACGAGATGTTACCTTCAAATCTATTGACCAGAGTCTGATTTATAAAGTATATATATTTAAGTCAATACAATCAGTTTGTGTTTCTACTTGCTATAGAAACACAATACAGCCTGCTATAGAAACACAATTAAACCCTGAGATTAATACAATAATATGTGTATAATGCTTCTATATTACAAAACAGGTTTACTTCATTCCCTTCATTCTTCACTACAACCCTGTGAAATCAGATATAGCAACGTACTTACTAGCAATATCTACTAGGAAACTAAGAAATAACAGCTGGAATTGTAAAGATGAAATACTTTGCAACTTTAACATAACTAGGAGTTTCTTATTGCCAAAAATATATTTCTTAAGAGGCACTAAAGGCACTATATGTATTACTTCATTGTTCAGTCACCGGCTTACTATAGAGAAAAAAGGTGTTTTACTTAGCATTTGCCGAGTAACAAACCATCCCCAAAATTAGTAGCTTAAATAATCATTGTATTTTTCTCATGATTTGTGGGTCAAATATTTGCAGAGTTTGGTTGAGTTGTTTGTCTCTGCTTCCAATGGAGTCAACCAGTATGGCTGGGGCAGGGGACTGCGTCCAAGATGGAGCTAACGTTCTTTGGCATCTCTCTTTCCATATGATAGATCATGCTTCAAAGTTCTCCATGTGGGTGTTTCTCTTAGCATGCTGGTCTTAAAGTGGCACTTCTTTCATGACAGCTAGCTTCTAAGAGAGAGAAAGCAAGCTGCCATGGCAGTTATGGGACATTGTATCACTTCTATCATATTCTATTGATCAAAGGGGTCCCAGGGTCCACCCAGATTCAAAGAGTAGGGTGTGGGTGGGGGATTTATTCTACCTCTTGATGAGGACACAGCAAAATGACACTGTAGAAGGGTATGTGGAATGGAAGACATTTTTGAACCATCTTTGGAAAAATACAATGTATCACAGACAGATTAAAAGATTCATTTGAAGTCAGCATGTGTTTAGGTTACCTATGGCTGCTATGACGAATTACCACAAATTTAGTAGCTTTAAATAATAAAAATTTATTGTTTTACAGTGCCGAGAGTCCAAAACCAAAGGGCTAGCAGGGTTCCATTCCTTCTGGAGACTTCAAGGAAGAATCCCTTTCCTTGCCTTTTCCAGCTTCTAGAGGCTATCTGCATTCCTGGGCTCATGGCCTCATCCTTGTATGTCTACCAATTCTTGCTTTGTCATTCCATATCTACTACTGACTCTAGTCTCCTGCCATCCTGTTATAAGGACCCTTATGGTTTTATCGGGTGCTCTCAGATATCCCAGGATAATGTCTCCATGGAAAGATCTTTCATCACATCTGCAAAGTCTCTTTTTGCCATATAAGGTAACAGTCACAAGTTCTGAGGATTAGGACATAGATATGTTTGGGGAGGGGAGGGGCAGGCAGGTTGGAGAAAGGAGGTCATTATTCAGCCTATTATGGTGAGTTAGAATATTTTCCCAAGTAAATCTTAGCTTACACATCATGGGGGTGTTTCTGGAGCCCCTATCTGAGTCCACTTTGTGTTGCTATAACAAAATACCACAGACTGGCTAATTTATAAAAGAAAGAAATTTACTTCTCCCAGTTCTGGAGACTGGGAAGTCTGATATAAAGGTGCTTCAGCATCTCATGAAGGCGATCTTACTACACCATCCCACAGCAGATGGCAAAAGAGTTAGGGTGAAAGAGCAGGAGGCTGAACTTGCAGCCTCAAGCCCTTTTATAATTAGTGTTAGGCCATTCATGATGGTGGAGCCCTAATAACCTAAACACCTCCCATTAGGCCCCACCTCCCAACACTGTTCCATTGGGAATTAAGTTTCCAGCACATACTTTTTGAGGGTCACATTCAAAGCCTAGCATTTGCTCCAGCCCCCAAAATTTATGTCCTTCTCATGTGCAGAATACATTCGTTCCATCTCAATAGCCCTGATACGGTTTGGCTGTGTCACCACCCAAAATCTCATCTTGAATTCTAATCCCCACAATCCCCACGAGTCAAGGACAGACCAGGTGGAGGTAGTTGAATCAGGGGGGCGATTTTCCCCATGCTGTTCTCATGATAGTGAATGAGTTCTCATGAGATCTGATGATTTTGTAAGTGTTTGGTAGTTCCTCCTGTGTTCATTCTCCTTCCTGCTGCCTTGTGAAGAAGGTGCCTTGCTTCCTGATATGGTTTGGCTGTGTCCCCACCCAAATTTCACTTTGAATTGTAATAATCCCCATGTGTCAAGGGCAGGGCCAGATGGAGATAATTGAATCATGGGGGGCAATTTCCCCCATACTGTTCTCATGGTAGTGAGTAAGTCTCACAAGATCTGATGATTTTATAAATGGGAGGTCCCCTGCACAAGCTCTCTTGCCTTCCACCAGGTAAGAAGTAACTTTGCTCCCTATTCACCTCCTGCCATGACTGTGAGACCTTTCCAGCCATGTGGAACTGTGAGTCCATTAAACCTCTTTTACATTACAAATTACCCAGTCTCAGGTATGTCTTTATTAGCAACATGAAAATGAACTAATACACTTTCCCTTTGCCATCTGCCATGATTCTAAGTGTCCCAAGGCCTCCCCAGTCATGCTGAACTATAAGTCAATTAAACCTCTTTTTTTTAATAAATTATCCAGTCTCGGGTATGTCTTCATAATAGTGTGAAAACAGACTAATACAAGCCCCAATGTCTTAACTCATACTAGCACCAACTCAAAAGTCCAAAGTCCAAAGTCTCATCTAAATCAGATATGGGTAAGACTCAAGGCATGATTCACCTTAAGGCAAACTCCCACCAGCTATGAGTTTCCAAAATGCAATGAGATAAGCATGATGGACATTTCCATTACAAAAAGGAAAAACAGGTAAGAACAGTAACTGGTCCTAAGGAAGTCCAAAACCCATTAAGAAAAACAACATAAAACATTAAATCTCTAATATAGTTTTCCTTGACTCTATGTCCTGACCTCTGAGCACACAGGGGTAGGGGTTGAGCCCTCAAGGCCTTGGCCAGCCCATCCCTATGGCTTTGCTGGATGTAGGCCATGCTGCGGCTCTCAAAGTTTGGAGTCTTGTGACTGCAGCTCTCCCAGACAGAAGTTGCATACTGGTAGCCCTGTAGCTCTGGGCTCTTGGGGCTTCCCAACTCTCATGGCTCCACTAGGCATTGCCCTGGTGGGGGCTCCCTACAGTGGCTCTGCTGCTGTAACAAGTCTCTGCCTGAGCACCCCCAGGCTGTCCATAATAACCTTTGAAATCTAGGTGGAGGCCACCATGACCCCACAGCTCTTGCATTCTGTGCACCTGCAAAATTAACACCACATGAATGCCACCAAGGCTTATGAGGTATGTACATTCCAGAGTGGTGGGTTGAGATGCACCTAGGCCCACTTGAACCATGGTTGGGATGGCCAAGGGACACTGTGCTGAAATTCAAGCAGCAGAGTCCCTAGGTCATACAGAGCAGTGGTGGTCCTTCAGGTGCCCCTCTGGAAACTGCATCAAGGTCCTGCTCTGGGCCAGTGATGGGAGAGGCAGCCTCAAAAATCTCTCAAATGTCTTTGGGGTCTTTCACCCATTGTTTTGAAAGACAGTGCCTGGCTCCTTTTATTTATTTATTTATTTATTTATTTATTTATTTTCATTTCAACAGGTTTTTGGTGGAATAGGTGGTGTTTGGTTACATGTATAAGTAAGTTCTTTAATAGTGATTCCTGAGATTTTGGTTCATCCGTTACCCAAGCAGTGTACACTGTACCCAATATATAGTCTTTTGTCTTTCACCCCACTTCCACCAGTTCTCCCGAGTCCCCAAAGTCCATTATATCATTCTTATGCCTTTGCATCCTCATAGCTTAGCTCCCACTTATGACTGTGAACATACAATGTTTGGTTTTCCATTTCTGAGTTACTTCACTTAGGCTAATGAGCCCATGGCTCCTTTTTATTCATGGTAGTCTCTTTGGCAAATGGTAACTTGGGACACACCCTTGGTTTGCTCTCCTAAAGACCTTTTCACTCTTTATATGACCAGGCTGTGAATTTCCCAAATATTTTTGCCCTGATACCCTTTTAATTATAAATCCCATCTTTAAATCATTTCTCTTTTTCTTATATATTACTGTGTGCAGTTAAAAGTAGCCACAAAGGCTGGGCACGGTAGCTCATACCTGTAATCCCAGCTCTTTGGGAGGCCAAGGCACACGGATCAGTTAAGGTAAGGAGTTTGAGGCCTCCTAGCAAACATGGCAAAACACTGTCTCTACTAAAAATACAAAAATTAGCCAGGTGTGGTGGCACATGCCTGTAATCCTAGCTACTCGGGAGGCTGAAGTACAAGAACTGCTTGAACCTGGGAGGCAGAGGCTGCAGTGAGCCAAGATCACATCACTGCACTCCAGCCTGTGTGACAAATCAAGACTCTGTCTCTAAATAAATAAATAGAAAAATAAATAAATGTAGCCACACAGTTCCGTCAATATTTTCTTAGAAATCTGCTATCCTAGTACTTATCTCTTAAATTCAGCCTTCCCTAAAGCCCTCAGGCATGGAGATAATTCAGCCAATTTCTTTGCTACCTTGTAACAATGTTGGTCTTTAGTTTCCAGTGCTTTGTTTCTCATTTCCATCTAGGATCTCATCAGAATGGCCTTTAGCATTCATATTTCTACCAACAGTCTAATCACAACACTTAAGTAATCTCTAAGAAGTTACTTTCTTTTCCTGCATGTCTTCTCTTTTTCTGACCCCCTCACCAGAATCATCCTCAATGTTCCATTCACAGCAATCTAGGCTTTTCCTAGCCTGCTCCTCCAGATTCTTCCAGCCTTTAGCCATTACCCATTTCCAAAACTGCTTCCATATTTTCAGATATTTGTTATAGCAGCAACCCAATGTCTGGCACCAATGTTTTGTCTTAGCCCTTTTTGTGTTGCTATAACAGAATAGCACAGACTCAGTAATTTATAAAAAAAAATATATTTTTTACAGTTCTGGAGGCTGGGAAGTCCAATATTAAGGTGCTAATCATCTGGTAAGGGCCTTCTTACTGCATCATCCCATGAGAGAAGGTAGTAAGGCAAAAGGGTACAAGAGATAGTGAGGGGAAGGGAGCCAAACTCAGCCCCAGTAAAATCTAAGTAGTTTTAGGTATCGAGTAGTCTTATCTTTGGTTCATGTGTCCTTCCTCTTGAATCATCTACTCTCAGACTTCATTTATTCTAGTGTGAATGCTTCATTAGAATCGTTTTTGAGAAGCTTCATTTTGCATCTCTGGCAAATTTTACAGTGAATAACAGCCAAAATTTGAAAGCTCTGAGGCTGGAGACCCAGTTGAAATGTTTCATATGGGTTTAAACCCCCAGGCCAGACTACATTAGCTTAAACACATAAGGCACATTATATAGAAGCCTACATTAATATTCATGATAATACTTTCATGGAAAAGTGCTTTCAGAATTAAACTGTGAAGAGCCATTTGCTTTGCTACTCCAAAGCAGTGCAATACAGAACCCTCATATTCCCACTTCTCTTTCTTACCACACAACAGGAATAGTAAAAATTGAGGAGGGTAAACAGGAAGGTGAAAGCTGGAGGGAGATTGTCTCTGCTTCTGTAAACTGATGCAGAAGCTCCCACAAGAAAAGGGATTAAAAACAGAAATTAGGACCATATGAGAGAAAGGCTAAGAAACAGACCCTTTCCAGAGAGTTTCTGGTGGTCAAGGCATAGCCTCTTAGGAAAAGATCTTGCTACATGTACCTTTACTTGTATTTTTCACCATTAGTTTTATTAACAATCAAACTGGTTTCCTTTTGCCACTTTCTATAGGCAGCACTATCCTAGCTATCTTGATTTGTCAATTCTAAAAAATAGTTCAAACAGCCACTGACTCCTAGACAAAGGTTGTATTGGAATTATAATGGATCAAGAGTCAGGTAAAATTTTTACTTCTCCAAGAAACTACTTTATACTCCTCTGTCTTTAAGTCACAGAAGAAGCATCACATAAAAGGCTGAATGTTTGCTTGTTTTGACTGGAGGAGCACAAGGCTGAGTTATTCATACCCCACCCCTTTGACAGTATATTATGATTGCTGGTCTTTGAAAGGCCCATCACTTGCTTTCAAAAAATACATATATATTCCTTTCTATCTCTATTTCCTCCATTTCCACTTTCATTCACCCTTTAGGCAGTCATTCTAATGGGTTATGTGGTTTTTGTCTTTTTGTTTGTTTGTTTGTTTTGTTTTGTTTTTTGTTTCTTTGTTTTTTTCTTTGAGACAGAGTCTCTGTCGCCCAGGCTGGAGTGCAGTGGCACGATCTTGGCTCACTGCAAACTCCACCTCCTGGGTTCAAGTGATTCTCATCCCTCAGCCTCCCCAGTAGCTGGGATTACAGGCCTCGCCACCACTTCTTTCTTCCTGGCTAATCTTTATGTTTTTACTAGAGATGGGGTCTCACCATGCTGCTCAGGCTGGTCTCGAACTCCTAACCTCAAGTGATCCATCCTCCTCAGCCTTCCAAAGTGTTGGAATTACAGGCATGAGACATCATGCCCAGTGGTTTTGTGTATTTTTAAAATTTGCAAGTGTTCTTGAAAATATATATTTACAATTTCATGTCAATATTTTTTTAATGTGTGTAAATGGTTTTATGTTATATATCACATCCTCTAATATTTTTTCTCAGAACTTGGTTTTTATAATCAATCCATGCTGCTACATAAAATTCGTTGCTACTAACCACTAAGCGTTACACCACAATATGCAACCACCACTTTATAATTATCTCTACCCATGATAAGACACTCAAATTACCTCCAAATTTCTACCGCTACAAGAAGGTGGAAAATACATCCTCATGTATGTCTCCTTAGTACCTGCATAACAATTTCTTTGGAATAGATACCCAGCGGTGGAATTGTGTGATCATTAAATAGGAATGTACTTAATGGCTCTGCAGAGGTACGTTCTCACCAGTGGAGTATAAGGATTTCTACATCCTTGCTTTCTAATTTTTGGCAGACTAATAGGTAATAAAGTAATATCTCATTGTTTTTCTGATTTCTAAGGAGATGGAGCATATTTTCATGTCATTTTCCAAATCTGAAAGTTTTCTTCTTTGAAAATTTTCCCTATTTTTTTACCATTTTTCTATTGATCCTTATTTGTTTTTCCTGCGGATTTGAAAAAAATTAAACATTTATAAATATCATCTCTTGATATTTATATTTTTGATATTTATTTGACAGAGACAGATCTGTCATTTGTCTGTTAATCTTACTATTCATGTCTCTCTTGTAAGATAAATTCTTAATTTTGTTATAATCCAATTTATTATTTCACCTTACAGTTTGTGAATTTAAAATTTTCCCCCATGCCATCAGTCACAAAGATATTCTCCCATATTGTTTCTTTAATTTCATAGTTTTATTTTAACATTTTTGTCTTTATTCCATCTAGAATTCACCTTTACACTTGGTGGTAATTAGAAACCCACATTTATTTGTCTGCTAATAGCTGGCCACTCTTCGCAATACCATCTTTAAATAATCCACAGTGACTTACAGTATCATCTTTATCAAATATTAGGTTGTCATAGATATGAGTCTTTCTCTGAACTTTCTGTTCAGTTTCATGTTCTGAAAATACCATATAGTTTTATTTCTATAGCTTTGTATTATTAGTATTTGATAAGGTATTTCTCTCTTTTATATTTTAGACATGTGTGGATTTTTAGTCCCTCACTTAAATTTTAAAATGAGTTTACTGAGTTTCTCAAAAATATTTTTTTAAACATATTCTGAATATATAAATTTGAGGATGGCCACACATAGTAGCTCACACCTATAATCCCAGCACTTTGGGAAGGCTGGCCGGAGGATTGCTTGAGCCCAGGAGTTTGAGACCAGCGTGGGCAACATAGTGAGACCCCATCTCTAAAAATATAAAATATAATAAGATAAAATAAAATCAATTTAATCACTTTATAGCATCACTCAATTCAACATCATGAAATATCTTTCCATGGTTTTAATTCATTTTCTATGTCTTCAATTTGAGTATTAACATTTTCTCCATAGGGTTTTTATGTGTTCTTAAGATATTTCTAGATATTTTATGGGACTTGCTGCTATTATGAATGGCATCATCTTTTTAATTTCTACTAGACTATTGCTTGCATAAAGAACTACTATGGATTTTTATAGGAGAGTCATAGAATTATCTGAATCTTTTATGTACTCTTATATTTTGTCTATGGATTCTATTTTTTTCCAGTATTATATCAATTAAAAGTAATGACAGGAATATATTATAGCTTATGATCTATAAAATCCCTATTTTTCTTTCCTTATTGCATTGAATGTAACCTCCAGTACTTTTCTTTTTGTTCTCAACCATAAAGAAACTATATCTAAATTTTATCCATTAGGTATAATGTTTACTGCAGATTTTGTTCACTTTCTTTTTCTTTTTTCTTTGCCCTCTCTTTCTCTTTCTGTCCCTCCCTCCCTCTCTCCCTCACTCCCTCCTTTCTCATGCTAATTTGCTCAAAACAACCCTATCTTATTCTTGTTCTAGCTGACATTACCTTGTGCATTATTAATCCTGAACTGAAGTGTGAAAATTTGGAAGATTAATTACATGGTTATTCTATATTTAACCTTTATCAACCTCAGAGCCTTTTCTTATATTCTTAGTTTGAGAAAAGCTTTTATCATAATTAATTAGTGATCTCTATCAACTGCTTTTTCTGTATGAACTGAGGTAATAATATACTTTCAGGGGTGGGGTCTTACTATGTTATCCAGGCTGGTATCAAACTCCTGGCCTCAAGTGATCCTCCCACTTCAGCCTCTTGAGTGGCTGGGATTACAGGCATAAGCCACTGCACCCAGCTGATTTCCTCATGTTAAATCATCTTTAAATTTCTGGAATAATTCTACTTGATCATGATATTATTTTTAACACACTTAAGATCGGACTGAATATCATTTTATTTAGAATTAATTCAGAAATCAAAAGGAATGCTATTTTTCTTTTCTTTTATTCCCTCACTTAAATTTTAAAATCAGTTTACTAAATGTTGTCTTTATTTGATTTTGGAGTCAGGATTATACAAGCCTCTTAGAATAAGCTCATTTTTAAAGGACAATATCTTAATACAGGAAACATTAATAATTTCTTAAAATTTGGAAGGGTTCATTTGTAAAACCATCTAGATCTGGGTTTCCGGAGAAATAGGAAGAAGAGGGCTTTGGCTGCGGTTTTAACTTGTTTAATACTTGTTTGTATAACTGAGTTCTCTATCGCTTCCTGTGAAATTACAGATATTTTATGTTTTTCTAGGAATACATCCATTTTATTTAGGTTTCCAAAAGTATTTGATTCAGCTGTTTGTAATATTTTATAATAATATTTTTAATCTGTGTTGAGTTTAGAATATTTTCCCTTTCTATGTTGTACTCTATGTATTGGCATTTCCTCTTTCTCCTTTTTGTTTTTCCTTGATTATTCTTGCCAGATGTCAGTCTCACTTACTAACCTTTTCGAAGAATGAGAATTTGCTTTTGTTAATACTCACTTTTGTTTTTCTGTTTCACTTATTTCTATCTCTTTTTTTGGTATTTTAAAACTTCTTGTTACTCAGGGTTTGCTCTATTGTATTTTTTTGTGTTTGTTTTCTCAATTGGAAAGTTCAGGTCATTTTTTAAATTGTCAAATCTGTTCTGTTACTACTGCCTTGTTAGTTAGAACCCAATGCCCCACCACACATACCAGCAGGTCAGGCCAGCTTTTCGCCTACCCAGGCATTTCTTAAACTTCTCGTTGTCATTTTATTTTGTTATTATTAGTGCTTGGAATCTTATTGTTTCTTTAGAGAAGATTTGAAGGGAGGGAGTCAGCATTCTGAGGTAATTCACCAACTTATTTTAGAAACTAAAAATAATTTCTTTATTTTTTATTTTTCAGGTTTTTTCCTTATTTTATTTTTTGCCAGCTCACATCAAAAAATGATTTCTAATCTTTATATTTAGGCTCAGAGTTCACCATTCTTCCCAGAAAGTTTCTCTCTCTTTAATAGAAACACCCACTCTATTAGGTGATACTAGGCCTATGGAAATGGTAGTTACTTATTCTACTTCTTACAAAAGAGAAGAACACAATTTAAAAGCTATAATGAAACCCAGAGTACTTATTTCCAAATCGCATGTTTTCAAGATAGTACATGGAATATGTAGGCCAATTGAAGTGCTTTATTAGCCCCTGAAAACAAAGTCCAAATATTGCCCCAAATATATGGGTTGCAATTCTTTAATTTCTTTGGTGACTTTATCTCACTACAGGGACCTTCCTGTATGAGCTGTTGTAGTTAGTAAAACTACTGTTAGATTTACCAGGGAAAGGATTGTTTTGTTTTGCTTTTCAAATTAGAGCCATTGGCCTATAGAATACACACACCAAATAATAAAAAAAGTGTAACTTAGGCAGGACATTTTTAAAAATTGTTTTTAACAGTGGAATTCACCACACATGTCTATATACAAATAAAGACCAAAATATGAAATTTAAATTTAAAAAAATCCTAATAAAAAGCATATTTTTTGTTTCACATGATGAGTTGATTAAACAAGAATACATTTGAAGAAATTTTGACACAGTAAGTTATTTATATACATTGATTTATTTGGTGATTTAAAAGCTCTGAAGTTAGAAAATATAGTTACAGTGCACACTTAAAACTACAGAACCTGGAAAGCTAAACAACTTGTTTAACCTGACACAGCTAAAAATTTTTAGGTCTGAGGCTGGAGCCCACATCTTGTGTTTCTGTTTTAGTTTGTTTTATTTTATACTTTGGTTTTTTTTACTATGTTGCCAAATGAGATAGGCAAAGAGAAGAAAGAGTTGGGTGGGGCCAGAAAAGCGGAAGTTAAGAGAGATACGAGGATAAAAGAAACATACTTTATCTAAGGAACTTCCCCAGAACACATAATGCTGTATTAACAAGGTATTTATCTTTATCCAAATGTACTCTGATCAAAAGAATGTATCCTCTACAGTAGTGTGCATGCAAAAATGCAGCCTCATTACATGGCCATAAGAAGCAAGAGTTAACACCGTATTTTTTAATGCACACATAACATTTAACAGCCAAATATTGTCTATTTATTTTTATTATAAAATATTTACATTTTTATCTAAAATTAAAAAGCTGAAATAGTCTTGATATACTTTCTTTTCTACACTTTAATAGTACAAATTCTTGGGTTTCATTTTGAAAAGTGAGGAGTAACATGTAACTTTACAAAATAAAACGTCTTTTTCATGGATGTATATCCATATCCCACTGCCCTTTTAAAATACACCAGCTAAGGCTGGGCAGGGTGGGTCATGCCTGTAATCCTAGCATTTTGGGAGGCTGAGGAGGGTGGACACTTGAGGCCAGGATTTCAAGACTACCCTGGCCAATATGGCAAAACCCCATCTTTAATAAAAATAAAAAAATTAGCTGGGTGTGGTGGCACATGCCTGTAATCCCAGCTACTTGGGAGGCTGAGGCACAAGAATCACTTGAACCCAGGGAGGCAGAAATTTCAGTGAGCCGAGAGTAGGCCACCGCACTCCAGCCTGGGTGACACAGCAAGGTCCTGTCTCAAAAAAGAAAAAAAGTTAACCCATGAAAACGCATATGCTCATAGACTATGTCTAGCACCTCAGTATAACTGAGCATCAGCCCAAGAGCTTCATGAGAAAGACATGAAAAAGAAAAACACTAAAATTTAAAATGCCACATGGTAATTAAAAAACCGTTCCAAATCTCTCAACATTGTCTTAAATATAAAGACAGCAAAATTGCATATAAAATGAAACCTCACTCCCAAGGATAATGAAATTACATTGGATGGAATAGATAGGTGGAGAGTTAAACAGGAACATATCTAAGTTCCCTTCCATTTCTAAGATTATATAACTGAGATGTTTTGAACTTACCTAAGTATTTTGGATAAAAATAATCCTAGAAAGAAGAAAAAGAAAACATACATCTTAGCAAATCTAAATTTCATTATAGAGTTAAAAATTTTATAATGTTTTTATATTAAATATGCAAACAAATTATATATAACCATCATTTTCACATTATAATTTTTATATAGCAAAATATACCAAGAGAAAACAATAAAATTAAACCAGTAAGATACTTAGGCTTAAAGAAATATTGATCAGTTAATCATGTTTCAAAAGTTTCTAATCTGAAAACAAGCTCTATTTAAGATGGTAAATATAATTATACATGCCCTTTTTTGTACATCCTTTAATTTTCCCATAATGATTAGATAACCATTTGACACATTTTATGTCATAACGATCACCTACACCAGATTCAATGTTGAATCACAGTAACATACTTTATTTTTTATTTATTTATTTTTTGAGACGAGGTTTCCCTGTGTCACCCATGCTAGAGTGCAGTGGCATGACCATGACTCACCGAAGCCTCAACCTCCTGGGCTCAAGTAATCCTCCCATCTCAGCCCTCTAAGTAGCTGGAACTACAGGTACAGGCCACCATGCAGAGCTGATTTTTTGTTGTTGTTAATAATTTTTTTGTAGAGATGGGGTCTCACTATGTTGCCTAGGCCTCAAACTCCTGGGCTCAAGCGATCCTACTGCCTTGGCCTCCCTAAGTGCTAGGATTACAAGTGTGAGCCAAGGTGCCCAGCTAACAGTGACATACTTTGAAGTGAATTAAAGTAGACATTTCTCTTGTACATCTTATGTACATGTAATATGTTACTTATAAATTGGTTGTGTACCAAAAGTTTTTCTGTCGATCAGTTATTTGAAGTAAAGAATGTGCTTTCTTAAAGGGAGAAAAATGTTAAACATTTCTGATAGTAAAGTTCTCAGGCTGGTTTACGAAAGCATTCTTAAGCCATAATATATCTAATGATGTGTTCCATTAACAGCACAAGAATACCTCATGAGAAACCAGAATTTCTGCACAAAGACATATTCAGTGTTACCACTTAGTAAGTACAGAACATAAACTCATCCAGAACTGAGCCAAAGGCCTCATTCTTACCTCCTCTCACATATAAACCTACACAATAGATGGGATTCAAAGGTGATGTTGCGACCATCAAAGGAATATATTAGAGATGTTGAGGCATAAGTAGTACTGTAGGGACTGGAAATGTGGACTATGGTATTAGGGATGTGGACAGGGAGTGGTTGGCTAGGGTCGAAAATGATCACACTTGTGATCATGAGAATCATAACACAGTAACAAATGTTTGGTGAGGGTGGGGCAGGGGGGTCACTGTGGTCACACGTGAAATCCTAGCACTTTGGGAGACTAAGGTGGGCAGATTGCTTGAGCCAAGCCTGGGCAACGTGGCAAAACCCCCTCTCTACAAAAAATACCAAAATTAGCCAGGTGTGGGGCTGCACACCTGTAGTCTCAGAGACATAGGAGGCTGAGATGGGAGGATTGCCTGAGCTGGAGGGCGGGGCTGCGGTGAACCATGATCATGCCACTGCACTCTAGCCTGGGCGACAGAGCAAGACCCTGTCTTAAAAAAAAAAAAAAAAACTTTTTTTTTTTCATTTATCCTCTTTCTGTCTTGCTCTTTCTGTCACTTTTTTCTATTCTGTCAATGAGACCAATGATAGAACTAGTGGAAGGGAGGAAGTGCACAAATGAGTTTTCCTTCCTCATTATCTCTCCTCCTCTGCATCTAGGTCTTCTCCCTCACTGGGCTTTTGCTGCTTAGAGGGTAAGCTGATAGAATATATCTACTATGCTAGAAATACACACTCAATGTTAATAAGTGATGTACTAATATGGTATCTTGGGCAGACAGGCATGCCTTACAATATTCCAGAATACCAAAACAAAAATTAGAATGGATGGGGTAAAAAATAGGTACAACAAGAATGGCAGAGTGTTGACCATTATTAAAGGGGTGGGGGAGTTTGTATACTGAAATTTATTACACTTTTCTCTCTACTTTGAGGTCTATTTAAAATCTATTTTAAAATTTCAATATTAGATGATACCTACAATCATGACTTAAAATCTTTCATGTAAAGTAACAGTAGGCCGGTTGTAGTGGCTTATGCCTGTAATCTCAGCACTTGGGGAGGCCAAGGCAGGTGGATTGCTTAAGCCCAGGAGTTTGAGACTTGCCTGGACAACATGGCAAAACCCCGTCTCTACTAAAAATACAAAAATTAGCCAGGCATGGTGGCACACACCTCTAATTCCACCTACTCAGGTGGCTGAGGCATGAGAATCTCTTGAACCCAGGAGGTGGAGGCTGCAGTGAGCAGAGATTGCACCACTGAACTCTATCCTGGGCAACAGAAAGAGACTTTGCTTCAAAAAATAAAAATTAAAAAAAATGCCAATGTAGAAATTTAATGAAGCATTGTGATAACAATCCAAACTAGCATGCACACACACACACACACACACACACACACACACACACACACACACAAAGTTAATACTTCAGATATCCTCTCCCCTCCCTCTAACGCTATCAAATTCTAGTTAGAAGAAAATATTTGCAAACCATAAGGTCAATACTATTTGCTGATAATGAGGTGTAACTGAACTATAGTTTAGTCAGGACAAGCTGTTATTGGTGATCATGTCTGCCTAACAAGCCCACTTTCCTTTGAAGGTAGTTCCTCCTGAAATGGAAGTGGTTACATGTGGAAGGTGATACACAAAATTATTGACTTTAAGATGGAACAGAAGGAAGTATAGGCTGAAAATGTTCAGTCTGTAGTTGTATGTCTAGATGTGTGAACTTGATAGTTTCCATAAATGCTTACCATTTCAGGGTCATTTTCAAAGACCTCCCTGGCTGCTTCTTTATTGCACAGTTCTTCGATGCATTCTCTTTCAAGATTACCCTGTTTGGTTTCTTCAAGTAAAGAACTTGCACGACACTTCCTAAACAGGACTTGTGAAGCCTGTTGCTTTGACAAAAGTGAAGGAAAAAATAAGTTTATATGAATTAATCATTTTTCCATCGAAAATATATTGTTTTATTAAACAATAATAGTTAAAATCATTTTCTGTCTATGAATTGTTTGACATTTAAAATCAGTATGATCGAACTGAGAAAAAAACGCAGATATAGAAGCTTGTTGGTTAACAACAATTCACAGAGCAGGTTTGGTGTGCAGCTGTAGCCCTTGTATGATGGTCTACACTAATTATTCAGGTTTATACTTGAGGTTAAACACACCAAATAATATTCAATATTTCCTTCATTATGCCTACATCGGAGAAAACATACTGAGGCCAGGTGTGGTGGCTCACCTTCGTAATCCCAGCACTTTGGGAGGCTGAGGCGGGAGGTCCACCTGAACCCAGGAGTTCAAACCCAGCCTGGGCAAATTAGCGAGACCCTATTTCTACAAAAAACAAACAAACACACATATATATATTTTTTATTTTTTATTTTTTTTGAGAAGGAGTCTTGCTGTCACCCAGGCTGGAGTGCAGTGGCACGATCTCGGCTCACTGCAACCTCTGTCTGCCAGATTTAAGCGATTCTCCTGCATCAGCCTCCTGAATATCTGGGATTACCGGAGTGTGCCACCACATAAAAAATATTAATTGGGCATGGTGGTATGCACTTGTAGTCCTTGCTACCTGGGGGGCTAAGGCAGGAGTGCCACTTGAGTGCAGGAGTTCAAGGTTATAGTGAGCTATGATCATACCACTTCACTCCAGCCAGTAAGACCCTCACTCTAAAAAAAAAAAAAAAAAAAAAAAAAAACTGAAAAAAAAAAAAAATGATGAAATGTGTATGTCAAAAGCCGCAGTCTTAGCCAGGCCTGGTGGAACATGCCTGTAATCCCATCTATTTGGGAAACTGAGACACGAGAATCGTTTGAACCAGGGAGCCAGAGGTTTCAATGAGCTGAGATTGCGCCACTGCACTCCAGCCTGGGCAATAGAACAAGACTCTGTCTCAGAAAAAAAAAAAAAAAAAAAAAAAAAAAAAAAAAGCCATACCATCTTTAAAGCAAGAGTAATAAACTTTCTCAGTTTTAATGAAAAACCTTTAAGATCTCTGTGGATATTGTTGTTGAACAGCAACAACAAAAATAACATAACAAAGTTCAATATCAAGCAACAGACTGGAGGAAAATACTTACAGCATAGAGAATAGAAAAAATAGCATCCAGATAAGCCGACCAATACAGAAATGCATGTATGGTTGTATATAGAATCATTTCTAAAATATAAAAAAACTATAAAGAAAACAATATAAACAATCCTATAAACCATCATGACAGAGAATAAATGGGCAATAAACATTATAAAGTGTTCAAATCAAACTATTTTAAAAAATATATTTTTGCATATTAGACTGGCAAAACTTTAAAAGAATGATAATATCAATTATTGGTGAGAGTAAGGGAAAACATGTATTCTTGTACACTGGTAGTGGAGCATAAACTGGCAGGTTTTATTTGAAGGTATTTTGGTAAAATTTCAAGCACATATACTCTTCATCTCAACAACTCTGCTTCTAAGTATGTCGTACATATATGCCCATGTGCTGGAAAAAATAGCATTATTTATTGAAAGACTGTTTGTGAGATCAAAAAATTAAAAATGACTTAAATATCTATTAAGAGGAGCACAGGATCAGGCACGGTAGCTCATGCCTGTAATCCCAGCACTTTGGGAGACCAAGGCAAGAGGATCACTCGAGCCAAGGAATTCAAGACCAGCCTGGATGACAAAGAGAGACCCCATATTTCCAAAAAATTTTAACAATTGTCCAAGTGTAGTGGTGCACGCCTGTAGTCCCAGCTAGTCAGGAGGCTGAGGCAGAAGGATCACTTGAGCCTGTGAGGGGTCAAGGCTACAGTCAGCTATGATCACACCATTGCACTCCAGTGTAGGTGACAGAGCAAGACCCTGACTTAAAAAAAAAAAAAAGGAGGGGAATGGAAATAAAAGCTATAAAAACTTGTACTGTGGAATAATATGCAGTTGCTAAAAGGAAGACACTCTCGTACTGAAGATCTCAAAGATACCATAAGTTAAAATGCAAGTTGTAAAGTGCCACACTCATAGCATAATTCTCTATAAATCAGTTAAAGTAGTAGATATGTAAATATGTGGAAAAATACATAGAAAAGAGTTTGGAAAGACAAACTGCTAATACAATGATTATATTTGGAGAAAAATATGGAGAGTACCGAGTTTTGGTTTATTATTTTAGTATGTTAATATAGCTTTTTAATGAAAAAATGTAAAAAAAAATAAAATCTGCAAATAACTTTTTTCCTGATTTTAACCACAAATGGTTCTTTCACTAAGAAGATAAATAAGTAATACAAATGTCTGAATTTCTTTCCCTTTTCTTGTCTCTTATTACCTGGTAAACAATAAGCAATAAATACTCAAAAGTTGACTAATAGAAGAAAAAAGAAGCAAAAAGACTAATCAACAGGCACTCAACTTATTTATTAGTTAAGTAACTAAAAAATCTTTCAAGAGTGAAGTAATATTACTTTATTTATCTGACTTGCCAAAGCAGAAGTTTAAATGTAATGGATAAATAAATACATTGTTTGGGTTAGATTTATAACCCTATCTCTTGCCATGTTTATCATTATGCTCATTAAAATAGAGATTAAGTCAAGGCAGTGTGTATATAAAAGATGGTACTCTGTGATCATGCTATCTATCTGCCAAGTGTGTTATTGACTTATCAGTGACAGTCCTGTCAACAATGAAAGAGCCTGATGTGGGCAATTATCTCATTTAGTTGAAGTAGTTTTATTCATGCTGGTTTGTAATAAATACAGCAAAAAATTTGGACTTTTTGAACTTCACAGCAACTATGTGATTCTTTCTGGGGAAAACGATAATACTTTCATTGAAGGGTGAATACGCTGATTCAATTTTAAAAATCAAGGTGAAATGCACTTAGGAAATAAAGCTCCATATATATTCACTTCTTGGCATTTATTCCTTACACAATATTAACTTTTGGAATTAGGAGTTTGATGGTGATTTTTAAGAACATCTCTTTCCCCGTATGGGCCCCCATTAAAGGGTACAAACCAGGTGTAATAACACATACTGTATTCATGCTTGTGAAAGCAAAGGTCTAAATCACCCAGAATACCCAAGGTTTTTGAGTTCTTGGGAATGTCCACTTAAGTTTATAAAAGTAAACATAACCACCTTTATTTTTTAAGAGACGACAAAACTCAGGTAAAAAGCATGCAACATATTTTTCCATAATTGCAAAGTGAATAGACAACAAACCTACAGCTAGATCATAGGCATCCCAACTCTCAGACCTGCAATCCATTGTTTATTGTCTGCTGCTTTTCAAAAATCAGGAAGTTTTATTGTCTCCATTGTTGAGAGGAATATTAAAAAACAAAAACTGTTACGCTTCTGTCCTACAGGAAAATTAAGCTAACAACAACAAAAAATTTTGTCTAAATATATTTGCACCAAATTTGGATTTCATCTAATTCAGTGCAACAATGCTTTAAATTGGTATGATACATGACAATGTTCAAAGCATGAATTAGTAATTTCATTTGATTTTCACATAATGAAATAAACTATAAGTCAGAATTATTATCCCTATTTTCCTATTGAAGAAATTGAAGCTGAGAGAGGTGACATGATTTGCTACAAGTTGTGCTAATGGAATTCAAATATACCCATCCCCTTAGCCCAGTGCTCTTTTCTGCAGTGTATTCTGCTACTCAAATGTCCACGATGTACCTGATTTAATTTTTTTATTTACATATTTTTATCTGGAAATGTGTTTATCAGTACAGTGAAACTAAATTATAGAGACACTGATGTCATTAATTTAGACAAAATTACTTTATAATAAAAGACATGGTAATTAATATATTATGTAAGATTTTAGAACTTCAGTGGAATGGGCAGCTTCATGTTGATGCCATTTCAACAGTGAATTATTTCAGTCTACCTACTTTCTAAGAATGTCACTATCTCTAAATAAAAAAATAATCGCTGTGGTCTAGAATTACTTTGGTGCCTCCATATTCTGAGAGAAGTACTTTATCTCCAGCTTTCACACTAACTGCTTGAATCCCTTTCCTTTAGGGCCCAATCCAACAGTATTGCTTGCAATACTTTTCCTGAGAATTTTCTGGAAGCATAATGCCTTCTTTGGTTACGGTTTTGGCTGCACTACTTTTAGCCAAACAACACTCGGTCAAAGAGCAGAAGAAACTTTCTACATGTTTGGTCTCCCATGACTGCCGCTGCCACAGCTCATACTCTGTTCTTGCACAACTGCCACGAGCTGATTTTAATTTTTGTAAAAGAAATTATGTGGTTGTGCAGTGGGTAAGGTCACTATCTTAAATAATTAGCTGTCCTTTACAAAATAAACCCATCCATCTAAGAGAATGGCTTTTGAAGCAGTCTACTGTTTCTTGCCAGAAAGATACCGGCATGACATCATGAACCCAAATTAAAACTACAGGACTGTGGGATGAGATAAGCACCGGGTGTGAAGTACTTTCACCAATTGACTCAAAGTCCTTCTGCCTAAAAATATTCACCCTGCTGACATGCAGCAATATCTAAAAAGTTCCATTATTTACCATAATAACCATGACATATGAGCACATAAATGCTGTTTTACATTATTTCCTTTAATCTGAATCATAACTGTTATAAGTAGACTAAAATTTTCCATTTCATATATGAATAAGCTAAAATTTAGAGTTGAGTTAATTTTAGCAAGTTCCCACAGCTGAGAACACAGACAACCAGCATCCAAAACCTGTCCTGTTTTTATATTAGCACACTGTCCCTTACTCATTTTTTTCACTTCTTTGTATTAAGAAGCAGCTCAAAAAAGTCTTTGTTAAAACCCAACTATGTTGCTTGAAAAATGTTACATTCAGATTCAAAATTTTAAGTTATAATGTGGAGTTTATGAGTCTTTCAAGATAAGAAGTACAACTGAGTCAACTTGATTTTTTTAACTTCCCTGAGTCACTCCTTCTTCAAAATGATGATCAAAGCAGGTGGAACAATTATAACAATAAAACCATTGTGCAAACATGAACTGGAATTCTCTTTGAAATTGTATTCACAGCCTGCATATGTTCTCTTCATGTGAAGGGTAAATCTTCATTTTTTGAGTGTAAATTTGATTGACTTACCTTCAAAAAAGTAATTTATTGGTATTGGTTTCTTAGTAGCCCCTGTGATGATAGTGATGCTAGCACTGCCTCTACTAATGCCATCCTTTGTTCAAGGAGGGCAAGACCAAAGATCCGTAGGTTGTCCAAAACTGATCAGTCAGGTAAGGATGAGGTGGAAGATGGAGGAGGGTCCAGGCAAGAAAGCTACTTTCTAGTTTTTATGTGAGGATATTTCCTTTTGCACAAGGAATCAAAGTGCTCCAAAATATCCCTTTGCAGACTCTAGAAAAACAGTTGTTCCAAACTGCTCAATCCAAATAATGGTTCAACTCTGTTAGAAGAATGCACACATCACAAAGCAGTTTCTCAGAAAGCTTCTTTCTAGTTTTTATGTGAAGATAATTCCTTTTTCACCATAGGCCTCAAAGTGCTCCCAAATATCCCATTGCAGATTCTACAAAAATAGTGGTTCCAAATTGCTCAATCAAAAGAATGGTTCAACTCTCTGAGACGAATGCACACACCATGAAGCAGTTTCTCAGAAAGCGTCTGTCCAGTTTCTCTCGGAAAGTATTTCCTTTTCACCACAGGAATCCTTGGGAATCCAAATAGCCCTTCGCAGATTCTACAAACACTGTGTTTCCAAACTCAATCAAAATAATTGTTCAATTCGGTGAGATGAATGCACACATCCCAAAGCAATTTCTCAGAAAATTTCTTTCTAGTTTGTATGGGAAGATGTTTCCTTTTTCACCATAGGCCTCAATGCACTCCCAAGTATCCCTTTGCAGATTCTAGAAGAAAAGATTTTCCAAACTGCTCAAGGAAAAGAAATGTTTAACTCTGTGAGATGAATGCACACATCACAAAGAATTTCCTTCGAATGCTTCTGTCCAGTTTTTATGAGAAGATATTTCATTTTTCACCATAGGCCTCAAATTGCTCACAAATATTAAATTGTAGATTCTACAAAATCACTGTTTCCAAATTAATCAAAAGAGAGGTTTAACTCTGTGAGATGAATGTACATATCACAAAGAAGTTTCTCTGAAATCTCTGTCTAGTTTTTATTTGAAGATATTTCCTTTTTAACAGGCCTCAAAGCCCTCACAAATATCCTTTTGCAGATTCTCCAAAAAGACTGTTTCCAGTTGTTCTATCAAACAAATGTTGAACTTTGCGAGATGAATGCACACATCACAAAGAAGTTTCTCAGAAAGCTTCTGTCTAGTTTTTATATGGAGATATTTCCTTTTTCACAATAGGCATCAAACTGCCCACAAATATCCCTGTGCAGACTCTGCAAAAAGACTATGTCCAACTGCTCAACCAAAAGAAAGGTTCAAATCTGTGAGGTGAATTCAAACATCTCAAAGAAGTTTCCCAGAAAGCTTCTGTCTAGATTTTATATGCAGATATTTCTTTTTTACCACAGGCCTCAAGCTGCTCACGAATATCCCATTGCAGATTCTACAAAAATAATGTTTCCAAACTGCTCAATCTAAAGAAAGTTTCAACTCTGTGAGATGGATGCACACATCACAAAGAAGTTTCTGAGAATGTCTCTGTCTAGTTTTTATCTGAAGATATTTCCTATTTCACTGTAGGCCTCAATATGCTCACAAGTATCCCTTTGCAGATTCTACAAAAAGATTGTTTCCAAACTGCTCAATCAAAAGAAAAGTTCATATCTGTGAGATGAATGCACACAACACAAAGATGTTTCTCAGAATGATTCTGTCTTGTTTTTATGTGAAGACATTTCCTTTTTCACCACAGGCCTCAAACCATTCACAAATCTCCCTCTGCAAATTCTACAAAATGACTGTTTCCAAACTACTCAATCAAAAGAAAGTTTCAACTCTGTGAGATGAATGCACACATCACAAAGATGTTTCTCAGAAAGCTTCTGTTTGATTTTTATGTGAAGATATTTCCTTTTTCACCATAGGCCTCAAAGCGCTCCAATTATCTATTTGCAGATACTACAAAAAGACTGTTTCCCAACTGCTCAATCAAAGGAAAGGTTCAACACTGTGTGATGAAAGCACACATTACAAACCAGTTTCTCAGAAATCTTCTGTGTAGTTTTTCTGTGAAGAAATTCCCTTTTTCTCCATAGGCCTCAAAGCACTCCAAATATCCATTTGCAGATTCTACAAAAAGACCATTTTCAAACTTACCAATCAAAAGACAAGTTCAACTCTGTGAGATAAAATCACGCTTTGGTATCAGGATGATGCTGGCCTCATGAAATGAGTTAGGGAGGATTCCCTCTTTTTCTATTGATTGGAATAGTTTCAGAAGGAATGGTACCAGTTCCTCCTTGTACCTCTGGTAGAATTCGGCTGTGAAGCCATCTGGTCCTGGCCTCTTTTTGGTTGGTAAGCAATTGATTATTGCCACAATTTCAGATCCTGTTATTAGTCTATTCAGAGATTCAACTTCTTCATGGTTTAGTCTTGGGAGGGTGTATGTGTCGAGGAATTTATCCATTTCTTCTAGATTTTCTAGTTTATTTGTGTAGAGGTGTTTGTAGTAATCTCTGATGGTAGTTTGTATTTATGTGGGATCGGTGGTGATATTCCCTTTATCATTTTTTATTGTGTCTATTTGATTCTTCTCTCTTTTTTTCTTTATTAGTCTTGCTAGCGGTCTATCAATTTTGTTGATCCTTTCAAAAAACCAGCTCCTGGATTCATTAATTTTTTGAAGGGTTTTTTGTGTCTCTATTTCCTTCAGTTCTGCTCTGATTTTAGTTATTTCTTGCCTTCTGCTAGCTTTTGAATGAGTTTGCTCTTGCTTCTCTAGTTCTTTTAATTGTGATGTTAGGTTGTGAAGTTTGGACCTTTCCTGCTTTCTCTTGTGGGCATTTAGTGCTATAAATTTCCCTCTACACACTGCTTTGAATGCATCCCAGAGATTCTGGAATGTTGTGGCTTTGTTCTCATTGGTTTCAAAGAACATCTTTATTTCTGCCTTCATTTCATTATGTACCCAGTAGTCACTGAGGAGCAGGTTGTTCAGTTTCCATGTAGTTGAGCGGTTTTGAGTGAGATTCTTAATGCTGAGTTCTAGTTTGATTGCACTGTGGTCTGAGAGATAGTTTGTTATAATTTCTGTTCCTTTACATTTGCTGAGGAGAGCTTTACTTCCAAATATGTGGTCAATTTTGGAATAGGTGCGGTGTGGTGCTGAAAAAAATGTATATTCTGTTGATTTGTGGTGGAGAGTTCTGTAGATGTCTATTAGGTCCACTTGGTGCAGAGCTGAGTTCAATTCCTGGGAGACACAACCAAAAAAGAGAATTTTAGACTAATATCCTTTATGAACTTTGATGCAAAAATCCTCAATAAAATACTGGCAAACCAAATCCAGCAGCACATCAGAAAGCTTATCCACCATGATCAAGTGGGCTTCATCCCTGGGATGCAAGGCTGGTTTAATATACACAAATCAATAAATGTAATCCAGCATATAAACAGAACCAAAGAGAAAAACCACATGATTGTCTCAATAGATGCAGAAAAGGCCTTTGACAAAATTCAACAATACTTCATGCTAAAAACTCTGAATAAATTAGGTATTGATGGGACTTACCTCAAAATAATAAGAGCTATCTATGACAAACCCACAGTCAATATCATACTAAATGAGCAAAAACTGGAAGCATTCCCTTGGTACACTGGCACAAGACAGGGATGCCCTCTCTCACCACTCCTATTCAACATAGTGTTGGAAGTTCTGGCCAGGGCAATTAGGCAGGAGAAGGAAATAAAGGGTATTCAATTAGGAAAAGAGGAAGTCAAATTGTCCCTGTTTGCAGATGACATGATTGTATATCTAGAAAACCCCATTGTCTCAGCCCCAAATCTCCTTAAGCTGATAAGCAAATTCAGCAAAGTCTCAGGATACAAAATCTATGTACAAAAATCACAAGCATTCTTATACACCAATAACAGATAAACAGAGAGCCAAATCATGAGTGAACTCCCATTCACAACTGCTTCAAAGAGAATAAAATACCTAGGAATCCAACTTACAAGGGATGTGAAGGACCTATTCAAGGAGAACTACAAACCACTGCTCAAGGAAATAAAAGAGGATACAAAAAAATGGAAGAATATTCCATGCTCAGGGGTAGAAAGAATCAATATCGTGAAAATGGCCATACTGCCCAAGGTAATTTACAGATTCAATGCCATCCCCGTCAAGCTACCAATGACTTTCTTCACAGAATTGGAAAAAACTACTTTAATGTTCATTTGGAACTAAAAAAGAGCCCGCATTGCCAAGTCAATCCTAAGCCAAAAGAACAAAGCTGGAGGCATTACACTACCTGACTTCAAACTATACTACAAGGCTACAGTAACCAAAACAGAATGGTACTGGTACCAAAACAGAGATATAGATCAATGGAACAGAACAGAGGCCTCAGAAATAACGCTGCATATCTACAACTATCTGATCTTTGACAAACCTGAGAAAAACAAGCAATGGGGAAAGGATTCCCTATTTAATAAATGGTGCTGGGAAAACTGGCTAGCCATATGTAGAATGCTGAAACTGGATCCCTTTCTTTCACCTTATAGAAAAATCAATTCAAGATGGATTAAAGACTTAAACGTTATACCTAAAACCATAAAAACCCTACAAGAAAACCTAGGCATTACCATTCAGGACATAGGTTTGGGCAAAGACTTCATGTCTAAAACACCAAAAGCAATGGCAACAAAAGACAAAATTGAGAAATGGGATCTCATTAAACTAAAGAGCTTCTGCACAGCAAAAGAAACTACCATCAGACTGAACAGGCAACCTACAAAGTGGGAGAAAATTTTCACAACCTACTCATCTGACAAAAGGCTAATATCCAGAATCTACAATGAACTCAAACAAATTTACAAAATAAAAACAAACAACCCCATCAAAAAGTGTGCGAAGGACATGAACAGACACTTTTCAAAAGAAGACATTTATGCCGCCAAATCACACATGAAAAAATGCTCACCATCACTGGCCATCAGAGAAATGCAAATCCAAACCACAGTGAGATACCATCTCACACCAGTTAGAATGACAACCATTAAAAAGTCAGGAAACAACAGGTGCTGGAGAGGATGTGGAGAAATAGGAACACTTTGACACTGTTGGTGGGACTGTAAACTAGTTCAACCATTGTGGAAATCAGTGTGGCAATTCCTCAGGGATGTAGAACTAGAATTACCATTTGACCCAGCCATCCCATTACTGGGTATATACCCAAAGGATTATAAATCATGCTGCTGTAAAGACACATGCACAGGTATGCTTATTGTGGCATTATTCACAATAGCAAAGACTTGGAACTAACCCAAATGTCCAACAATGATAGACTGGATTAAGAAAATGTGGCACATATACACCATGGAATACTATGCAGCCATAAAAAATGATGAGTTCATGTCCTTTGTAGGGACATGGATGAAATTGGAAATCATCATTCTCAGTAAACTATCACAAGAACAAAAAACCAAACACCACATATTCTCACTCATAGGTGGGAATTGAACAATGAGAACACATGGACACAGGAAGGGCAATATCACAGTCTGGGGACTGTTGTGTGGTGGGTGGAGGGGGAAGGGATAGCATTGGGAGATATACCCAATGCTAGATGACGAGTTAGTGGGTGCAGTGCACCAGCAAGGCACATGTATACATATGTAACTAATGTGCATATTGTGCACATGTACCCTAAAACTTAAAGTATGTTAATAAAAAAAAAAATCATGCAACACAAAGAAGTTTCTCAGAAAGCTTCTGACTAGTTTTTATATGAAGATATTTCCTACATCATCAGAGGCATCAAAGCGCCCAAAATATCCATTTGCACATCCTACAAAATACTGTTTCCAAGCTGTTCAGTCACAAAAAGATTCATCTCTGTGTCATGAAAGCACACATCAAAAAGAAGTTTATCAAAAATCTTCTGTCTAGTTTTTATGTGAAGATATTTCCTTTTTCACCATAAAACTCAAACCACTCCCAAATATCCCTCAGCAGATTCTGCAAAAAGACTGTTTCTAAACTGCTCAATCAAAAGAAAGTTTCAACACTGTGAGATGAATGCATATATCACAAAGAAGTTTCTCAGAATCCTTCTGTATAGTATTTATTTGAAGATATTTCTTTTTCACCATAGGCCTCAAACAGCTCAGAAATATCCCATTGCAGATTCCATGGAAAGACTTTTTGGAAACTGCTCAGTTGAAAGAAAATTCAACTCTTAGGTGAATGCACACATCACAAGAAAGTTTCTCAAAAAGCTTCTGTCTACTTTTTATGTGAAGATATTTCCTTTTTCACCATAGAGCTCAAACGGCTCACAAATATCCCTCTGCAGAATCTACAAAAAGACTTTTTCCAAATTGCTCAATCAAAGGAAAGGTACACCTCTCTGAGATGAATGCACATATCACAAAGAAGTTTCTCAGAAAGCTTCCATCTAGTTTTTATGTGAAGATATTTCCTTTTTCACAACAAGACTCAAGTGCTCCAAATATCCATTTGCAGATTCTATAAAAAGACTGTTTCCAAAGTTCTGAATCAAAAGAAAGGTTCAAGACTATGAGATGAATACACTCATCACAAAGAAGTTTCTCAGAAAGTTTCTGTCTAGTTTTTATCTGAAGATATTTCCTATTTCACTGTAGGCCTCAAAGGGCTCAAAAATATCCCTTCGCAGATTCTACAAAAAGACTTTTTCCAATCTGTAAAATCAAAAGAAAGGTTCAGGTCTGTGCGATGAATGCATGCATCACAAAGATGCTTCTCAGAATGCTTCTGTCTTGTTTTTATGTGAAGATATTTCCTTTTCCACCATAGGCCTGAAACCGTTTGCAAATATCCCTCTGCAAATTTGGCAAAAAGACTGTTTCCAAACTGCTCAATCAAAGGAAAGTTTCAGTTCTGTGAGCTGAAAGCACACATCACAAAGAAGTTTCACAGAAAGTTTTTGTCTATTTTTTTCTGAAGATATTTCCTATTTCACTACAGGCCTCAAGATGTTCCAAATATCCATTTGCAGATTCTACAAAAAGACTCTTTCCAAACTGCTCAATCAAAAGAACAGTTCTACACTGTGAGATGAAAGCATAAATCACAAAGAAGTTTCTCAGAAAGATTCTGTCTAGTTTTCAAGTGAAGATATTTTGTATTTCACAATAGGCCTCAAAGGGCTCACAAATATCCCTTTGCAGATTATACAAAAAGACTGTTTCAAAACAGCTCAATCAAAAGAAAGTTTTAATTCTGTGAAATGAATGAACACATCACAAAAAGTTTCTCAGAAAGCTTTTGTCTAGTATTTATCTGAAGATATTTCTTTTTCACCATATGCCTCAAACAGCTCAGAAATATCCCTTTGCAGAATTTATAAAAAGACTGTTTTCAAACTGCTCAACCAATAAAACGTTCAACTCTGTGAGAATAATGCACACATCACAAAGAAGTTTCTCAGAAAGCTTCTGAGTAGTTTTTATGTGTAAATAATTCTTTTTCACCATAGGCCAAAAACGACTCAGAAATATCCATTTGCAGATTGTACAAAAAGACTGTTTCCAAGCTGCTCAATCAAAAGAAAGGTTCAACTCTGTGAGATGAATTCAGGAATCACAAAGAAGTTTCTCAGAATGATTCTGTTTAGATTTTATGTGAAAATATATTTCCTTTTTTCACCATAGGCCTCAAAGCATTCTAAATATCCATTTGCGGATTCTACAAAAAGAGTGTTTCTAAACTGCTCAATGAAAAGAAAGGTTCAATTCTGTGAGGTGAATACACCCATCACAGAGAAGCTTCTCAGAATGCTTCTGTCTAGTTTTTATGTGAAGATATTTCCTTTTCACCGTAGGCCTCAACGTGCTCCAAATATCCATTTGCAGATTCTACAGAAAGACTGTTTCCAAACTGCTCAATCAAAAGAAAGGTTCAACTCTGTGAGATGAAAGCATACATCACAAAGAAGTTTCTCTGAAAGCTTCTGTCTAGTTTTTATGTGAAGATATTTCCTATTTCACCATAGGACGTAAAGGGCTCAGAATTATCCCTGTAAAGATTCTACGAAAAGACTGTTTCTAAACTGTTCAAACAAAAGAAAGTTTCAATTCTTTGAGATGAATGCACAAGTCAAAAAGAAGTTTCTCAGAATGCTTCTGTCCAGTTTTTATGTTAAGATATTTCTTTTTCACCATAGGCCTCAAATGCCTCAGAAATATCCCTTTGCAGATTGTACTAAAAGACTGTTTCCAAACTGTTCAATCAAAAGAAATGTTCAACCCTGTGAGATGAATGTACACATCACAAAGAAGTTTCTCAGAATGCTTCTGTATTGTTTTTACATGGAGATGTTTCTTTTTCACCAGAGGTGTCAAACGGCTTGGAAATATCCCTTTGCAGATTGTACAAAACGTCTCCTTCCAAACTGCTCAATCAAAAGAAACGTTGAAGTCTGTTACATGAATGCAGGCATCCCAAAGAAGTTTCTCAGAAAGCTTCTGCTTAGATTTTATGTGAAGATATTTCCTTTTTCACCATAGACCTCAAAGCACTCCAAACATCGATTTGCAGATTCTACAAAGAGAGTGATTCCAACCTGCTCAATCAAAAGAAAGGTTCAACTCTGTGAGATGAATGCAGGCATCACAAAGAAGTTTCTCAGAATGTATCTGTCTAGTTTTTATGTGTAGATATCTCCTTTTCCACCATAGGCCTCAAAGCACTCCAAATATCCCTCTGCAGATACTATGAAAACACTGTTTCCAAATTGCTGCATCAAAATAAACGTTCAACTCTATGAGATGAATGCAGACATCACAAAGAAGTTTCTCAGAATGCTTCTGTTCAGTTTTTATGTGAAGATATTTCCTTTTTCACCATTGGCCTTAAAGGGCTCCCAAATATCCCTGTGCGATTCTATGAAAAGACTGCTTCCAAACTGCTCAATAAAAAGAAAGTCAATTCTGTGAAATGAATGCACACATCACCAAGAAGTTCCTCAGAATGCTTCTGTCTAGTTTTTATGTGAAGATATGTCTTTTTCACCATGGGCCTCAAACGGCTCAGAAATATCCCTTTGTACATTATACAAAAAGACAGTTTCCAAACTTCTCAATCAAAAGAAAGGTTCAACTCTGTGAGATGAATGCAGGCATCACAAAGAAGTTTCTCAGAATCCTTCTGTCTAGTTTTTATGTGAAAATATTTCCTTTTTCACCACAGGCTTCACAGCGCTGCGAATATCCTTTTGCAGATTCCACAAAAAGTCTGTTTCCAAACTGCTCAATTGAAAGAAAGGTTCAATTCTGTGGGATGAAAGCATACATCACAAAGAAGTTTCTCAGTATGTTTCTGTCTAGTTTTTATGTGAACATATGTCCTTTTTCACCATAGGTCTTAAACCATTCACAAATATCCCTCTGCAGATACTACAAAAAGACTGTTTCCCCAGTGCTCCATCAAAAGAATGGTTCAATTCTGTGAGATGAATGCACATATCACAAAGAAGTTTCTCAGAATGCTTCTGTTCAGTTTTCATGTGAAGATATTTCCTTTTTCACCATACACCTCAAAGCACTCCAAATATCCATTTGCATATTCTACAAAAAGACTGTTTCCAAACTGCTCAATCAAAAGAAAGTTTCAACTCTGTGAGATGAAAGCATACATCACAAAGAAGTTTCTCAGAAAGATTCTCTATAGTTTTTATATGAATATATTTCCTATTTCACCATAGGCCACAAAGCGCTCAGAAATATCCAGGTGCAGATTCTACGAAAAGAATGTTTCCAAACTGCTCAATCAAAGGAAAGTTTCAACTCTGTGAGATGAATGCACACATCACAAAAAGTTTCTCAGAATGCTTCTGTCTAGTTTTTATGTGAAGATATTTCCTTTTTCAATGTAGGCCTCAAAGTGCTCCATATATCCACTTGCAGGTTCTACAAAAAGATTGTTTCCAGGCTGCTCAATCAAAAGAAAGGTTCAACTCTGTGAGAGGAATGCACACATAACAAAGAAGTTTGTCAGAATGCTTCTGTCTAGATTTTATGGGAAGATATTTTATTTTTCACCATAGGCCTCAAAGTGCTCCAAATATCCATTTGCAGATTCTACAAAAAGACTGTTTCCAAACCGCTCAATCAAAAGAAATGTTCAATTCTGTGAGATGAAAGCATATATCAGAAAGAAGTTTCTGAGAGAGTTTCCATCTGGTTTTTATGTAAAGATATTTCCTATTTCACCATAGGCCATAAAGGCCTCAAAAATATCTCTATGCAGATTCTATGAAAAGACTGTTTGCAAACCACTCTATCAAAACAAGGGTTCAACTCCGTGAGATGAATGCACACATCACAAAGAAGTTTCTCAGAATGCTTCTCTCTACTTTTTCTTTGAAGATATTTCCTTTTCCACTATAGGACTCAAAGCGCTCCAAATATCCATGTGCAGATTCTACAAAAATATTCTTTCCAAACTGCTCGATCAACAGAAAGGTTCAACTCTGTGAGATGAAAGCATACATCAGAAAGAATGTCTCAGAAACCTTCTGTCTAGTTTTTATTTGAAAGTATTTCCTATTTCACCATAGGCCTTAAAGGGCTCACAAATATCCCTGTGCAGATTCTACGAAAAGACTGTTTACAAACTGCTCAGTCAAAAGACAATTTCAAATCTGTGAGATGAATGCACACATCACAAAGAAGTTTTGCAGAATGCTTCTGTCTAGTTTTTATGTGAAGGTATTTCTTTTTCACCATAGGCCTCAAACGGCTTGGAAATATCCATTTGCAGATTGTACAAACATACTGTTTCCAAACTGCTCAATCAAAGGACAGCTTCAACTCTGAGAGATGAATGCAGGCATCAGAAAGAAGTTTCTCAGAATGCTTCTGTCTTGTTTTTATATGAAGCTATTTCCTTTTTCACCACAGGCCTTAAAGTGGTCACAAATATTCTTCTGCATATACTAGAAAAAGACTGTTTCCAAACTGCTCCATCAAAAGAAAGGATCAACTCTGTAAGACGAATGCACACATCACAAAGAAGTTTCTCAGAATGCTTCTGTCTAGTTTTTATGTGAAGATATTTCCTTTTCCACCACAGGCCTCAAAGTGTTCCAAATATCCACTTGCAGATTCTACAAAAAGACTGTTTTCAAACTGCTCTATCAAAAGAAAGTTTCAACTTTGTGAGATGAAAGCATACATCACAAAGAAATTTCTCAGAATTCTTCTGTCTTGTTTTTAAGTGAAGATAGTTCCTAATTCACCATAGGAAATAAAGGGCTCACAAATATCGCTGTGTAGATTCTACAAAAAGACTGTTTCCAAACTGATCAAACAAAAGAAATGTTCAACCCAGTGAGATGAATTCACATATCACAAAGAAGTTTCTCAGCATGCTTCTGCCTAGTTTTTATGTGAAGATATTTCTTTTTCACCATAGGCCTCAACCAGCCCGTAAATATCCCTTTGCAGACTATACAAATGGACTGTTTCCAAACTGCTCAAAGAAGGGTCAATTCTGTGAGATGAATGCAGGCATCACAAAGAAGTTTCTCAGAATGTTTCTTTCTAGCTTTTATGTAGAGATATTTCCTTTTCAACCATAGGCCTCAAAGTGCTCCAAGTATCTATTTTCAGATTCTACAAAAATACTCTTTCCGAACTGCTCAACCAAAACAAAGGTTCATCTCTGTGAGATTAATGCACACATCACAACGAAGTTCTCAGAATGCTTCTGTCTAGTTTCTATGTGAAGATATTTCTTTTCCACCATAGGCTTCAAACAGCTCAGAATTATCCCTTTGCATATGGTTCAAAAAGACTGTTTAAAAACTGCTCAATCAAAAGAAAAATTCAAACCTTTGACATGAATGCAGGCATCACAAAGGAGTTTCTGAGAATGCTTGTGTCTGGTTTTTGTGTGAAGATATTTCCTTTTTCACCTTAGGCCTCAATGCGATGCAAAAATCTATTTGCAGATTCTACAAAAAGACTGTTTCAAAACTGCTCAATCAAAAAAAATGTTCAACTCTGTGAGATGAATGCACACATCATAAATAAGTTTCTCAGAAAACTTCCATCTAGTGTTTATATGAAGATATTTTCTTTTTTACCTCAGGCCTAAAAGCGTTCCAAATATCACTTGGCACATTCTACAAAAAGACTGTTTCCAAACTGCTCAATCGAAAGAAAGTTTCAACTCTGTGAGATGATTGCAAACACCACAAATAAGTTTCTCAGAAAGATTCTGTCTAGTTTTTATGTTAAGATATTTCCTTTTTCACCAGAGGCCTCTAAGCGCTCCAAATATCCCTTTGCTGATTCTATAAAAAGACTGTTTCCAAATTGCTCTATCAAAAGAAAGGTTCAAGTTTGTGAGGTGAATCTGCAGATCACAAAGAAATTTCTCAGAAAGCTTCCATCTACTTTTCATATGAAGATATTTCTTTTTTCACCATAGGCCTCAAAGCACTCAAAACGATTACTTTGCAGATTCTACAAAAATACTCTTTCCAAAACTGATCAATCAAAACAAAGTTCAACTCTGTGAGATGAATGCACACATCACAAAGAAGTTTCTCAGAAAGCTTCTGCCTAGTTTTGATGTGAAGATATTTCATTTTTCACCACAGGCCACAAAGGGCTCACATATATCCCTTTGCAGATACTACAAAAAGACTGTTTCCAAACTGCTCAATCAAAAGAATGGTTCAACTCTGTGCGGTGAATGCACACAACATAAAGAAGTTTCTCAGTAAATTTCCATCTAATTTTTATGTGAAGATATTTCCTTTTTCACCATGAGCCTCAAAGCACTCCAAATATCCCTTTGCAGATTCTGCAAAAAGAGTGTTTCCAAACTGGTCAATCAAAAGAAAGGTTCAACTCTGTGAGAAAAATGCACATATCATAAGGAAGTTTCTCAGAAAACTTCTTTCTTCTTTTTATGTGAAGATATTTCCTTTTTCACCATAGGCCTCACAGAGCTCCAAATATCCATTGGCAGATTCTACAAAAAGACTGTTTCCAAACAGATAAATCAGAAGTACTTTTCAAATCTGTGAGATGAATGCACACATCACAAAGAAGTTCCTCAAAATGCTTCTGTCTAGTATTAATGTGAAGATATTTCCTTTTTCACCATAGAACTCACACTGCTCTCAAATATCCCTTTGCAGATCCTTCAAAAAGACTGTTTCCAAACTGTTCAATCAAAGGAAACATTCAACTCTGTGAGATGAATGGAGACATTAGAAAAAAGTTTCTCAGAAAGCTACTGTCTGTCTAGTTTTTCTGTGAAGATATTTCCTTTTTCACCATAGGAATCCAAGAGCTCACAAATATCCCTCTGCAGATTCTACAAAAAGACTGTTTCCAAACTGCTCAATCAAAAGAAAGGTTCAACTTGGTGAGATGAATATACAGATCACAAGCAAGTTTCTCAAAAAGCTTCTGTCTAGTTTTTATGTGAAGATTCATCCTTTTTCACCATAGGCCTCAAAGGGCTCACAAATACCCCTTTGCAAATTCTACTAAAACACTGTTTCCAAACTGCTCAATAAGCAGGAAAGTACAACTCTGTGAGATGAATGCAAGCATAACAAAGAAGTTTCTCAGTAATCTTCTGCCAAGTTTTTATGTGAAGATATTTCCTTTTTCAACATAGGCCTCAAACCACTCAGAATATCCTTTTGCAGATTCTACAAAAAGATGGTTTCCAAACTGCTCAATCAAAAGAACCATTGAACTCATTGAGATAAATGCGCACATCATAAAGAAGTTTTCCAGAAAACTTCCATCTAGTTTTTATGTGAAGATGTTTCCATTCTCAGAGTAGTCCTCAATGCACAACAAATGTCTTTTTGCAGATTCTAAAAAAAAAAAAAAAACTCTTTCCAAACTGCTCTATCAAAACGAAATTTCAACTCTGTGAGATAAATCCACACATCACAAAGAAGTTTCTCAGAAAGCTTCGGTCTACTTGTTATGTGAAGATATTTCCTTTATCAACGTAGGCCACAAAGCGTTCCAAATATCCATTTGCTGATTCTACAAAAAGACTGTTTCCAAACTGCTCCATCTAAAAAAAGGTTTAACTCTGTGAGATGAATGCAAACATCACAAAGAAGTTTTTCAGAATGCTTCTGTGTGTTTTTTTGTGAAGATGTTTCCTTTTTCACCATAGTCCTCCAACTGCTCACAAATATCCCTCTGCAGATTCTACAAGAAGATTGTTTCCAAACTGCTCAATCAAAAGAAATGATCAACTGTGTGAGAAGAATGCACACATCACAAGGAAGTTTCTCAGAATGCTTCTGTCTAGTTTTTTTGTGAAGATATTTCCTTTTTCACTATAGTCCTCAAAGCACTCCAAATATCCATTTGTAGATTCTACAAAAAGACGGTTTCCAAACTGTTCAATCAAAAGAAAGGTTCAACCGTTTGAGATGAATGCATACATCACAAAGAAGTTTCTCAGAAAACTTCTGTCTAATTTTTACGTGAAGATATTTCCTTTTCACCATAGGCCTCAAAGGGCTCACATATATACCTTCACAGATTCTACAAAAAGTCTCTTTCCAAAGTGCTCAATCGAAAGAAAGTTCAACTCTGTGAGATGAAATCTCACATCACAAAGAAGTGTCTCAGAAAACTTCTGTCTAGTTTTTATGTTAAGATATTTTCTTTTTCAACATAGGCCTCAAACAGCTCATCAACATAGGCCTCAAAGCACTCCAAATATCCCTTGGAATATTCTACAAAAAGACTGTTTCCAAACTGCTCAATAAAAACAGAGGTTCACCTGTGTGAGATGAAGCCACACATCACAAGAAAGTTTCTCAGAAAGCTTCTTTCTAGTTTTTATATTAAGATATTTCCTTTTTCACCATGGGCCTTGAAGGGCTCTGAAATATCCCTTTGCAGATTTTACAAAAAATTGTTTTGAAACTGCTAAATGAACAGAAGTGTTCAGCTCTGTGAGATGAAAGCACACATTAAAAAAAAGTTGCTCAGAAATCTTCTGTCTACCTTTTACGTGAAGATATTTCCTTTTTCATCATAGGCCTCAAAGTGCTCCAAATACCACTTGGGAGACTCTACAAAAAGAGTGTTTCCAAACTGCTCAATCAAAAGAAAGTTTCAACTCTGTGAGATGAATGCACACATCACAAAGAAGTTTCTCTGAAAGATTCTGTCTAGTTTTTATGGGAAGATATTTCCTTTTTCACCGTAGGCCTCAAACAGCTCAAAATATCCCTTTGCAGATTCTACAAAAAGACTGTTTCCAAACTGCTCAATCAAAAGAAAGATTCAACTCTGTGAGATGAATGCACACATCATAAGAACATTTCTCAGAAACCTTAAATCTAGTTTTTATGTGAAGATATTTCCTTTTTCACATTAGGCCTCAAAGCATGACAAATATGTTTTTGCAGATTCTACAAAAAGACTGCTTCCAAACTGCTCAATGAACAGGAAGGTTCAACTCTGTGAGATGAATGCACATATCACAAAGAAGTTTCTCAAAAAGCTTCTGTCTAGTTTTAATGTGAATATATATCCTTTTTCACCATAGGCCGCCAAGGGCTCACAAATATCCCTTTGCAGAATCTACAAAAGACTGCTTCCAAACTGCTCTGTCAAAACAAAAGTTCCCCTCTGTGAGACAAATGCCCACATCACAAAGAAGTTTCTAAGAGAGGCTCCGTCTAGTTTTTTTGTGCAGATAGTACCTTTTGCACCATAGGACACAAAGTGCTCAAAATATTCCCTTGCTAATTCTACAAAAAGACTATTTCCCAACTGCTCTATCGAAAGAAAGGTTCAACTCTGTGAGATGAATCCACACATCACAAAGAAGTTTCTCAGAATGTTTCCATCTAGTTTTTATGTGAAGATATTTCCTTTTTTTTTTTTAACAGTTTCAATCACATTTATTTTCTTTTTTTTAAATTTTATTTTATTGTTATTATACTTTAAGTTTTAGGGTACATGTGCACAATGTGCAGGTTAGTTAAATATGTATACATGTGCCATGCTGGTGTGCTGCACCCATTAACTCCTCATTTAGCATTAGGTATATCTCCTAAAGCTATCCCTCCACCCTCCGCCCACCCCACAACAGTCCCCAGAGTGTGATGTTGCCCTTCCTGTGTTCATGTGTTCTCATTGTTCAATTCCCACCTATGGGTGAGAATATGCGGTGTTTGGTTTTTTGTTCTTGAGATGGTTTACTGAGAATGATGATTTCCAATTTCATCCATGTCCCTACAAAGGACATGAACTCATCATTTTTTATGGTTGCATAGTATTCCATGGTGTATATGTGCCACATTTTCTTAATCCAGTCTATCGTTGTTGCACGTTTGGGTTGGTTCCAAGTCTTTGCTATTGTGAATAGTGCCACAATAAACATACGTGTGCTTGTGTCTTTATAGCAGCATGATTTATAGTCCTTTGGGTATATACCCAATAATGGGATGGCTGGGACAAATGGTATTTCTAGTTCTAGATCCCTGAAGAATCGTCACACTGACTTCCACAATGGTTGAACTAGTTTACAGTCCCACCAACAGTGTCAAAGTGTTCCTATTTCTCCACATCCTCTCCAGCACCTGTTGTTTCCTGACTTTTGAATGATTGCCATTCTAACTGGTGTGAGATGGTATCTCATTGTGGTTTTGATTTGCATTTCTCTGATGGCCAGTGATGGTGAGCATTTTTTCATGTGTTTTTTGGCTGCATGAATGTCTTCTTTTGAGAAGTGTCTGTTCATGCCCTTTGCCCACTTTTTGATGGAGTTATTTGTTCTTTTCTTGTAAATTTGTTTGTATTCATTGTAGATTCTGGATATTAGCCCTTTGTTAGATGAGTAGGTTGTGAAAATTTTCTCCCATTTTGTAGGTTGCCTGTTGACTCTGATGGCAGTTTCTTTTGCTGTGCAGAAGCTCTTTAGTTTAATTAGATCCCATTTGTCAATTTTGGCTTTTGTTGCCATTGCTTTTGGTGTTTTAGACATGAAGTCCTTGCCCATGTCTATGTCCTGAATGGTAATGCCTAGGTTTTCTTGTAGGGTTTTTATGGTTTTAGGTCTAACGTTTAAGTCTGTAATCCATCTTGAATTGATTTTTGTATAAGGTGTAAGGAAGGGATCCAGTTTCAGCATTCTACATATGGCTAGGCAGTTTTCCCAGCACCATTTATTAAATAGGGAATCCTTTCCCCATTGCTTGTTTTTCTCAGGTTTGTCAAAGATCAGATAGTTGTAGATATGCAGCATTATTTCTGAGGGCTCTGTTCTGTTCCATTGATTTATATCTCTGTTTTGGTACCAGTACCATGCTGTTTTGGTTACTGTAGCCTTGTAGCATAGTTTAAACTCAGGTAGTGTGATGCCTCCAGCTTTGTTCTTTTGGATTAGGATTGACTTGGCGATGCGGGCTCCTTTTTGGTTCCATATGAACTTTAAAGTAGTTTTTTCCAATTCTGTGAAGAAAGTCATTGGTAGCTTGATGGGGATGGCATTGAATCTGTAAATTACCTTGGGAAGTATGGCCATTTTCACGATATTGATTCTTCCTACCCATGAGCATCGAATGTTCTTCCATTTGTTTGTATCCTCTTTTATTTCCTTGAGCAGTGGTTTGTAGTTCTCCTTGAAGAGGTCCTTCACATCCTTTGTAAGTTGGATTCCTATGTATTTTATTCTCTTTGAAGCAATTGTGAATGGGAGTTCACTCATGATTTGGCTCTCTGTTTATCTGTTATTGGTGTATAAGAATGCTTGTGATTTTTGTACATTGATTTTGTATCCTGAGACTTTGCTGAAGTTGCATATCAGCTTAAGGAGATTTTGGGCTGAGACAATGGGGTTTTCTAGATATACCATCATGTCATCTGCAAACAGGGACAATTTGACTTCCTCTTTTCCTAATTGAATACCCTTTATTTCCTTCTACTGCTTAATTGCCCTGGCCAGAACTTCCAACACTATGTTGAATAGGAGTGGTGAGAGAGGTCATCCCTGTGTTGTGCCCGTTTTCAAAGGGAATGCTTCCAGTTTTTGCCCATTCAGTATGATATTGACTGTGGGTTTGTCATAGATAGCTCTTATTATTTTGAGATACTTCCCATCGATACCTAATTTATTGAGAGTTTTTAGCATGAAGGGTTGTTGAATTTTGTCAAAGGCCTTTTCTGCATCTATTGAGATAATCACATGGTTTTTTCTTTGGTTCTGTTTATATGCTGGATTACATTTATTTATTTGCATATATTGAACCAGCCTTCCATCCCAGGGATGAAGCCCACTTGATCTTGGTGGATAAACTTTTTCATGTGCTACTGGATTCAGTTTGCCAGTATTTTATTGAGGATTTTTGCATCAATGTTCATCAAGGATATTGGTCTAAAATTCTCCTTTTTGGTTGTGTCTCTGCCCGGCTTTGGTATCAGGATGATGTTGGCCTCATAAAATGAGTTAGGGAGGATTCACTCTTTTTCTATTGATTGAAATATTTTCAGAAGGAATGGTACTAGTTCCTCCTTGTACCTCTGGTAGAATTCCGCTGTTAATCCATCTGTTCCTGGACTCTTTTTGGTTGGTAAGCTATTGATTATTGCCACAATTTCAGATCCTGTTATTGGTCTATTCAGAGATTCAGCTTCTTCCTGGTTTAGTCTTGAGAGGGTGTATGTGTCGAGGAATTTATCCATTTCTTCTAGATTTTCTAGTTTACCAACACGATCAAAAGAGACAAAGAAGGCCATTACATAATGCTAAAGGGATCAGTGCAGCAAGAAGATCTAACTATCCTAAATATAAATGCACCCAATACAGGAGGAGCCAGATTCATTAAGGAAGTCCTGAGTGACCTGAAAAGAGACTTAGACTCCCACACAATAATAATGGAAGACTTTAACACCCCACTGTCAACATTAGAGACATCAACGAAACAGAAAGTTAAAAAGGATACCCAGGAATTGAACTCAGCTCTGCACCAAGTGGACCTAATAGACATCTACAGAACTCTTTACCCCCAGTCAAGAGAATATACATTTTTTTCAGCACCGCAGCACACCTTTTCCAAAATTGGCCAGATAGTTGGAAGTGAAGCTCTCCTCAGCAAATGTAAAAAATCAGACATTATAAAAAACTGTCTCTCAGACCACAGTGCAATCAAACTAGAACTCAGGATTAAGATATTTCCTTTTTAACCATAGACCACAAAGCACTCCACATATCCCTTGTTAGATTGTACAAAAGACTGCTTCCAAACTGTTCCATCAAAAGAAATGTTCAACTCTGTGAGATGAATGCACACTTCACAAAGCAGTTTCTTAAAATGCTTCTGTCTATTTTTAGTGTGAAAATATTACTTTTTTCACCATAGTCCTCAAACGGCTCACAAATATCCCTTTGTGGATTCTTCAAAAAGCCTGTTTCCAAACAGCTCACTCAAAGGAAATGTTCAACTCTGAGACATAAATTCACACATCAAAACGAAGTTTCTCAGAAATCTTCTGCCTATTTTTATGTGAAGATATTTCCTTTTTCAACACAGGCAACAAAAGGCTAACATATATCCCATTACAGATACTAAAAAAACACTGTTTGCAAACTGCAAAATCAAAGGAAAGTTTCAACACTGGGAGATGAATGTGCACTTCTCAAAGATGTTTCTCAGAAAGCTTCTGTCTAGTTTTTATTTGAATATATTCCCTTTTTCAACATAGGCCACAAAGCACTCTAAATGTCCATTTACTGATATTTCTAAAAGACTGTTTCCAAATTCCTCAATGAAAAGAAAGGTTCAATTCTGTGAGATGAATGCATACATCACAAAGAGTTTTCTCAAAAACTTCTGTCTGGTTTTTAGTTGAAGACATTTACTATTTCACCATAGGCCTCAAGGGGGTCACAAATATCCCGTTGCAGATCCTACTAAAAGATTGTTTCCAAACTGCTCAAGGAAAAGAAAGCTTCAACACTGTGAGATGATGGCACACATCACAAAGAAGTTTCCCAGAAGCTTCTGGCTAATTTTATGTGAAGAAATTTCTTTTTCACCATAGGCCTCAAACCGCTCATAAATATCCCTCTACAGATTCTACAAATGACTGTTTGCAAACAGCTCAACCAAAAGAAAGGTTCAACTCTGTGAGATGAATGTACACATCAGAAAGAAGTTTCTCAGAATGCTTCTGTCTAGTTTTTATGTGAAGATATTTCCTTTTCCACCACAGGCCTCAAAGCACTCCAAATATCCATTTGCAGATTCTACAAAAAGAGGTTTGTGAACTGGTCAATCAAAAGAAAGGTTCAAGTCTGTGAGATGAAGGCACTCATCACAAAGAAATTTCTCAGAATGCTTCTGTCTAGCTTTTATGAGAAGATATTTCCTTTTTCACCAGAGGCCTCAAAGCACTCCAAATATCCTTTGCAGATTCTACAAAAAGACTGTTTGCAAACTGCTCAATCAAAAGAAAGTTTCAACTCTGTGAGATGAATGCACACATCACAAAGAAGTTTCTCGGAATGCTTCTGTCTAGTTTTTATGTGAGGATACTTCCTATTTCACTATAGGGCATAAACGGCTCACATATATCCCCTTGCAGATTCCATGAAAGGACTGTTTCCAAACTGCTCAATGAAAAGAAAATTTCAACTCTGTGAGATGAAACACATATCACAAAGAAGTTTCTCAGAATGCTTTTGTCTAGTTTTTATGTGAAGATACTTCTTTTTCACCATAGCACTCAAACGGCTCAGAAATATCCCTTTGCTGATTTTTCAAAAAGACTGTTTCCAAAATGCTCAATTCAAAGAATGGTTCAATATTATGAGATGAATGCACACATCACAAAGAAGTTTCTCAGAATGCTTCTGTCTAGTTTTTATGTGAAGATATTTCCTTTTTCACCATATGCCTCAAAATGCTCCAAATATCCATTTGCAGATACTGCAGAAAGATGGTTTCCAAACTGCTCAATCAAAAGAAGGGTTCCAATATTTGAGAAGAAACACACATCACAAAGAGGGTTTTCAGAAAGCTTTTGTCTAATTTTTATGTGGAGATGTTTCCTATTGAACCATAGGCCATAAGGGGCTCAGAAATATTCCTTTGCAAATTCTACGAAAAGACTATTTCTAAACTGCTCAATGAAAAGAAAGATTCCACTCTGTTAGATGAATGTACACATCACAAAGAAGTTTCTCAGAGTGTTTCTGTCTAATTTTTATGTGAAGATATTTCTTTTTCACCATAGGCCTCAAACAGCTCGAAAATGTCCCTTTGCAAATTGTACAAAAAGACTGTTTCCAAACTGCTCAATCAAAAGAAAGTTCAACTCTGTGAGATGAATGCAGGCATCACAAAGAAGTTTGTCAAAATGCTTCTATCTAGTTTTTATGTGAAGATATTTCCTTTCTCACCATAAGCCTTAAACCCATCACAAATATCCCTCTGCAGACACTACAAAAGGAATGTTTCCACACTGTGCCATCAAAAGTAAGGTTCAACTCTGTGAGATGAATGCACACGTTACAGGGAAGCTTCTCAAAATGCTTCTGTCTAGTTTTTATGTGAAGATATTTCCTTTTTCACCACAGGCCTCAAAGCGCTGCAAGTATACATCTGCAGATTCTACAAAAAGAGTGTTACCAAGCTGCTCAATCAAAAGAAAGGTTCAACTCCTTGAAATGAAAACCCATATCACAAAGAAGTTTCTCAGAATGCTTCTGCCTAGTTTTTATGTGAAGATACTTCCTTTTTCACCATAGGCCTCAAAGCGCTCCAAATATCCATTTGCAGATTCTACAAACAGGGTGTTTCAAACCTGATGAATCAAAAGAAAGGTTCAACTCTGTGAGTTGAATGCACGCATCACAAAGATGTTTCTCCGTATGTTTCTGTCTAGTTTTTATGTGAAGATATTTCCTTTTTCATCATATGCCTTAAACCAGTCACAAATATGCATCTGCAGATACTACAAAAAGACTGTTTTGAAACTGCTCAATCAAAAGAAAGGTTCAACTCTGTGAGATGAATGCACACATCACAAAGTAGTTTCTGAGAATGCTTCTGTCTAGTTTTTATGTAAAGATATTTCCTTTTTCACCATAAGCCTCAAGGTGTTCCAAATATCCATTTGCAGATTCTACAAAAAGAGTATTTGCAACCTGCTCAATCAAAAGAAATGTTCAACTCTGTGAGATGAATGCACTCATCACAAAGAAGTTTCTCAGAATGCTTCTTTCTAGTTTTTATATGAAGTTATTTCCTTTTTCACCGTAGGCCTTAAACCGGTCACAAATATCCCTCTGCAGATACAAAAAAAAAAAACTGTTCCAAACTCCTTCATCAAAAGAAAAGCTCAACTCTGTGAGATGAAAGCATATATTACAAAGAAATTTCTAAGAAAGCTTCTGTCTAGTTTTTATGTGAAGTTATTTCATATTTCACCGTAGGCCACCAAGGGCTCAAAAATAACCCTGCACAGATTCCACCAAAAGACGGTTTCCAAACTTCTCAATCAAAATAAATGTTCAACACCGTGAGATGAATGCACACATCAAAAAGAAGTTTCTCAGAATGCTTCTGTCTAATTTTTATGTGTAGATATTTCTTTTTCACCATAGGCCTCAAAAGGCTCAGAAATAATCCATTTGCAGATTGTAGAAAAAGACTGTTTCCAAAGTGCTCAAACAAAAGAAAAGTTCAACTCTGTGAGATGAATGCAGGCATCACAAAGAAGTTTCTCAGAATCATTCTGTATTTTTTATATATGAAGATATTTCCTTTTTCACCATAGGATCTCAAAGCACTCCATATATCCATTTGCAGACTGTACAAAAAGACTGTTTCCAAGCTGCTCAATCAAAATAAATGTTCAACTCTGTGAGATGAAAGCAGGCATCACAAAGTAGTTTCTCAGTAATGTTCTGTCTAGTTTTCATGTGAAGATATTTCCTATATCACCAAAGGCCAAAAAGGGCTCACAAACATCCCAGTGCAGATTCTATGAAAAGACTGTTTCCAAACTGCTCAATCAAAAGAAAGATTCAATACTGTGAGATGAATGCAAACATCACAAAGAAGTTTCTCAGAATCCTTCTGTCTAGTTTCTACGCGTAGATATTTCTTTTTCACCATAGGCCCCAAATGGCTCTGAAATATCCATTTACAGATTGTAGAAAAAGACTGTTTCCAAGCTGCTCAATCAAAAGAAAGTTTCAACTCTTTGAGATGAATGTAGGCATCACAAAAAAGTTTCTCTGAATGCCTCTGTCTAGTTTTATGTGAAGATATTTCCTATTTCATCATAGGCCTCAAAGTGCTCCAAATATCCATTTGCAGATTCTACAAAAAGACTGTTTCCAAACAGCTCAATCAAAAGAAAGGTTCAAAGCTGAGAGATGAATGCACACATCACAATGAACTTTCTCAAAATGCTTCTGTCTATTTTTATGTGAATATATCTTCTTTTTCACCTTAGGCCTCAAAGCACTCCAAATATCCCTTTGCAGATTCAATAAAAAGAGCGTTTCCAACCTGCTCAATCAAAAGAAAGTTTCAACTCGGTGAGATGAATGCACACATCACAAAGAAGTTTCCCAGAATACTTGTGTCTAGTTTTTATGTGAAGATATTTCCATTTTCACCATAGGCCTTATACCGGTCACAAATATCCCTCTGCAGGTACTACACAATGACTGTTTCCAAACTGCTGCTTCAAAAGAAAGGTTTACACAAAGGAGTTTCTCAGAATGCTTCTGTCTAGTTTTTATGTGGAGATATTTCCTTTTTCACCATAGGCCTCAATGCACTCCAAATATCCATTTGCACATTCCACAAAAAGAGTGTTTCTAAAATGCTCCATAAAAAGAAAGGTTCAACTATGTCTGATGAATGCACAGATCACAAAGAAGTTTCTCAGAATGCTTCTGTCTCAATTTTATGTGAAGATATTTTTTTCACCATAGGCCTCAAATGGCTGGCAAATATCCCTTTGAAGATTTTACGAATAGACTGATTCCAAACTGCTCAATCAAAACAAAGTTTCATCTCTGTGAGATGAATGCAGACATCACAAAGAAGTTTCTGAGAATGCTTCTGTGTAGTTTTTATGTGAAGATAATTCCATTTTCACCATAGGCCTCAAAGCGCTCCAAATATCCCTTTGCAGATTCTACAAAAAGACTGTTTCCCAATTGCTCAAACAAAAGAAAGGTTCATCTCTTTGAGATGCATGCACACATCACAAGAAGTTTCTGTCTAGTTTTCATGTGAAGATATTACCTTTGTCACCATCAGCCTCAAAGCGCATCAAATATCCATTTGCAGATTCTACAAATAGGTTGTTTCCAAACTACTCAATCAAAAGAAAGGTTCAACTCTGAGATGAAAGCGTATATCACAAAGAAGTTTCTCAGAAAGATTCTGTCTAGTTTTTATGTGAAGATATTTACTTTTACACCATAGGCCATAAAGGGCTCACAAATATCCCTGTGCAGATTCTACAAAAAGACTGTTTCCAAACTGATCAATCAAAGGAAAGTTTCAACTCTGTGATAGAAATGCACACATCACAAAGAAGTTTCTCAGAATGCTTCTGTCTAGTTTTTATGTGAAGATATTACTTTTTAAACATAGGCCTCAAATGGCTTGGAAATATCCCTTTGCAAACTGTACAAAAAGACTCTTTCCAAACCGCTCAATCAAAACAAAGGTTTAACTGTATTAGATGAATTCAGGCACCAGAAACATGTTTCTCAGAATGCTTCTGTTTAGTTTTTATGTGAAGATATTTCCTTTTTCACCATTGGCCTCAAAGCACTCTAAATATCCATTTGCAGATATTACAAAAAGACTGTTTTCAAAATTCTCCTTCAAAAGTAAGGTTCAACTCTTTGAGATTAATTCACAGATCAAAAGAAGTTTTACAGAATGCTTTTGTCTAGTTTTTATATGAACGTATTTCCTTTTTCACCATAGGCCTCAAAGCGCTCCAAATATCCTTTGCAGATTCTACACAAAGAGTGTTTCCAACCTGCTCCATCAAAAGAAAGGTTCAGCTCTGTGAGGTGAATGCACCCATCACATAATAGTTTCTCAGAATGCTTCTGTCTAGTTTTTACGTGAAGATATTTCCTTATCCAGCTTAGGCCTTAACCGGTCACAAATATCCCTCTGCAGATACTACAAAAAGACTGTTCCAAATGTGCTCTATCAAAGGAGAGGTTCAAATCTGTGTGATGAATGCACACATCATAAAGAAATTTCTCAGATGCTTCTGTCTAGTTTTTATATGAAGATATTTCCTTTTTCACCATAGGCCTCAATGTGCTCCAAATATCCATTTGCAGATTCTACAAAAAGACGGTTTCCAAACTGCTCAATGAAAACAAGGGTTTAACTCTGTGAGATGAAAGCATACATAGCAAGAGAGTTTCTCAGAAAGCTTCTGTCTACTTTTTTTGTGAAGATATTTCCTATTTCACCATAGGCCATACAGGGCTCAAAAGTATCCCTATGCCGATATTGTGAAAAGACTGTTTCCAAACTGCTCAATCAAAACAAAAGTTCAACTCTGTGAGAAGAAAGCACACATCACAAAGAAGTTTCTCAGAAAGCTTCTGTCTAGTTCTTATGTGTAGATATTTCTTTTTCACCATAGGCCTCAAACGGCTCAGAAATATCCGTTTGAAGATTGTACAAAAGTTTGTTTCCAAACTGCACAATCAAAAGAAAGGTTCAACACTGTGAGATGTATGCAGACGTTTCTTAGTATGCTTCTGTCTAGGTTTTATGTGAAGGTATTTCCTTTTTCAGCATAGGTCTCAAAGCACTCCAAATATCTATTTGCAGTTTCTACAAAAAGACTATTTCCAAAGTGCTCCATCAACAGAAAGGTTCAACTGTATGAAATCAATGCACAAACCACAAAGAAGTTTCTCAGAAAGCTTCTGTGTAGTTTTTAAGTGAAGATATTTCCTATTTCTCCCTAGGCCTCAATGGACTCACAAATATCCCTTTTTAGATTCTACAGAAGGACTGTTTCCAAACTCTTCAATCAAAGGAAAATTTCAACTCTGTGAGATGAATGCATACATCAGGAAGAAATTTCTGTGAATGCTTCTGTCTAGTTTTTATGTGAAGATATTCCCTTTTTTACCATAAGCCTCAAAGCACTCCAAATAGCAATGTGCAGATTCTACCAAGAGACTGTTTCCAAACTGCTCAAGCAAAAGTGGGGTTCAACTCTGTCAGATGAAAGCACACATCACAGAGAAGTTTCCCAGAATGCTTCTGTCTAGTTTTTATATGAAGATATTTCCTTTTTCACCATAGGCCATAAATGTCTCACAAATATCCCATTGCAGATTCTGCAAAATGACTGTTTCCAAACTGCTTAATCAAAAGAATGGTTCAACTCTGTGGGATGAATGGACACTTCACAAATAAGCTTCTCAGAATGAGTCTGTCTGGTTTTTATATATGAGGATACTTCTTTTTCACCATAGGCCTTAAACGGCTCTGAAATATCCCTTTGCAAATTGTACAGAAAGACTGTTTACAAACTGCTCCATCAAAAGAAAGTTTCAACTCTGTGAGATGAATGCAGGCATCATGAAGAAGTTTCTCCTCAGAATACTTGTCTAGTTTTTATGTGAAGATATTTCCTTTTTCACCATAGGCCTCAAAGCGCTCTAAATATCCATTTGTTGATTCTTCAAAAAGACTTTTTCCAAACTGCTCCATTAAAAAAAAGATTCAACTCTGTGAGATGTATTCACACATCACAAAGAAGTTTCTGAGAATGCTTCTGCCTAGTTTTTATGTGAAGATATTTCCTTTTTCACCATAGAACTGAAATTGCTCACAAATACCCCTTCGCAGATTCTAGAAGAACAGAATTTCCCAACTGCTCATTGAAAAGAATTATTTAGCTCTGTGAGATAAATGTATACATTGCAAAGAAGTTTCTCAGAAAGCTTATGCCTAGTTTTTATGTGACAATATTTCCTTTTTCACCACAGCCCTCAAAGCTCTCAGAAATATCCCTTTGATGATTCTAGAAGAAGAGAGTTTCCAAACTGCAGTATGAAAATAATCATTTACGACAGTGAGATCAATGCAGACATCACAAACCGTTTCTCAGAAATTTTTTTCTAGTTTTTATGTGAAATTATTTCCTTTTTTGCCATAGGCCTCAACCTGCTCCCAAATATTCCTTTTCAGATTTTCCAAAAAGACTCTTTCCAAACTGCTCATTCAAAATAATGTTTCAACTCTGTGAGATGAATGCAGGCATCACAAAGAATTTTCTATGAAAGCTTCTGTCTCGTTTTTATGTGACCATATTTTCTTTATCACCACTACCCTCAAAATGCTCACAAATATCTCTTTGCAGATTCTAGAAGAACAGATTTTCCAAACTGCTTCATTAAAACATAGGTTTTCCTCTGTGAGATGAATGCACACATCAGAAACAGTTTCTCAGAAATGTTCTTTCTTGTTTTTATGGGGAGATATTTCCTTTTTCACCAAAGTCTTCAATGCATCCCAAAATATTCCTTAGCAGATACTGCAAAAAGACTGTTTCTAAAGAGCTCAATCAAAAGAATGGTTCAAGTCTGTGAGATGAATGAACACATCACAAAAAGGTTTCTCAGAAAGCTTTTGCCTAATTTTTATGTGAAGATATTTCGTTTTTCATCATAGGCCTCAAAGCACTCAAAAATATCCAATTTGCAGATTCTAGAAGAACAGAGTTAGCAAACTGCTCAATGAAAAGAAAGCTTTACCTTTCTCAGATGAATGCATACTTCACTAAGCCGTTTCTCACTAAGATTCTTTGTAGTTTTCATGTGAAGATATTTCTTTTTTCACCCAAGTCCTCTGTGTGCTCCCAAATATCCCTTTGCAAGCTCTACAAAAAGAATGTTTCCAAATTGCTCAATCAAAAGAATGGTTCAAATCCCTGAGATGAATGAACACATCAAAAAGAATTTTCCCATAACTCTTCTGTGTAGTTTATATGTGAAGATATTTCCTTTTTCACTATAGGCCTCAATGCACTCACAAATATCCCTTTGCAGATTCTAGAAGAACAGAGTTTCCAAACTTCTCAATGAAAAGAAACTTTTACCTTTGTGAGTTAAATGCATGCATCACAAAGCAGTTTCTCAGAAAGCTTCTTTGTAGTTCTTATGTGAAAATATTTCCTTTTCCACCACAGGCCTCAAAGTGCTCCAAATATCCACTTGCAGATTCTACAAAAAGAGTGTTTCAAAATTGCTCAATCAAAAGAAAGGTTCAACTCTGTGAGTTGAATGCACACATCACAACGAAGTTTCTCAGAATGCTTCTGTGTAGTTTTTATGTGAAGATATTTCCTTTTCCACCATAAGCCTCAAAGCTCTCCAAATATCCACTTGCAGATTCTATAAAAAGTGTGTTTCAAAACTGATCTATCAAAGGAATGGTTCATCTCTGTGAGATGAATGCACACATCACAAAAAAGTTTTTCCAAAAGCTTCTGTCTAGTTTTTATGTGAAGATATTTCCTTTTTCACCATAGGCCTCAACGTGTTCCCAAGTATCCCTTTGCAGATTCTACAAAAAGAGTCTTTCCAAGCTGGTCAATGAAAAGAATGGTTTAAGTCTGTGAGATGGAATGTATGCATCACAAAAAATTTTTCCAGAAAGCTTCTGTCTAGTTTTTATATGAAGATATTTCCTATTTCACCATAGTCCTCAAATGGCTCAGAAATATGCCTTTGCAGATTCTACAAAAAGACTGTTTCCAAACTGCTAAATCAAAAGAATTGTTCAATTCTGTGAGCTGAATGCACACACCATGAAGAATTTTGCCAGAAATCTTCTGCCAAATTTTTATGTGAAGATATTCTCTTTTTCACCATAGGCCTGAAAGTGCTCAAAAATATCCCTTTGCAGATTGTAGAGGAACAGAGTTTCCAAACTGCTCAATGAAAAGAGAGTTTTACCTCTGTGAGATGAATGCACATTTCAGAAAGTAGTTTCTCAGAAAGCTTCTTGACAGTTTTTATGTGAAGATATTTACTTTTTCACTATAGGCCTCAGTGCGCTCCAAAATATCCCTGTGCAGATTCTACAAAAAGAGTGTTTCCAACCTGCTGTATCAAAAGAATGGTTCAACTCTGTGAGATGAATGCACACATCACAAAGTAGCTACTCAGAAAGCTTCTGTCTAGTTTTTATGTAAAGATATTTCCTTTTTCACCATAGAACTCAAAGCACTCACAAATACCCCTTTGCAGATTCTAGAAGAACAGAATTTCCAAACTGCTCAATGAAAAATATCATTTACCTCTGTGAGATGAATGCATAAGTCACAAAGATGTTTCTCAGAAAGCTTATGTCTAGTTTTTATATGATGATATTTCCTTTTTCACCATAGCCCTCAAAGCAGTCAGAATTATCTCTTTGATCATTCTAGAAGAACAGAGTTTCCAAACTGCTCAATGAAAAGAAACTTTTACCTCTGTGAGATGAATGCACACTTCACAAAGGAGTTTCTCAGAAAGATTCCTGGCAGTTTTTATGTGAAGATATTTACGTTTTCACTATAGGCCTCAGTGTGCTCCAAAATATCCCTGTGCAGATTCTACAAAAAGAGTGTTTCCAACCTGCTGCATCAAAAGAATGGTTCAACTCTGTGAGATGAATGCACACATCACAATGTAGTTACTCAGAAAGCTTCTGTCTAGTTTTTATGTGAAGATATTTCCTTTTTCACCATAGTCCTCAATGCACTTCCAAATATCCCTTGGCAGATTTTACAAAAAGACTGTTTCCAAATGGCTCAATCAAAAGAATGTTTCAACACTGAGAAAAGAATGCACACATCACATAGAAGATTCTCATAAAGCTCCTGTCTAGTTATTATGTGAAGATATTTCCTTTTTCACCACAGGCATCAACAAGCTCCAAAATATGCCTTTGCAGATTCTACAAAAACAGTGCTTCCAAACTGCTGTATCAAAAGAATGGTTCAACTCTGTGAGACAAATGCAGACATCACAAAATAGTTTCTCAGAAAGCTTCTATCTGGTTTTTATGTGAAGATATTTCCTTTTCCACCATAGAACCCATAGTGCTCAAAAACACCTCTTTACAGATTCTAGAAGAACAGAATTTCCAAACAGCTCAATGAAAAGTATCATTTACCTCTGTGAGATGAATGCATATATCACAAAGAAGTTTCTCAGAAAGCTTTTCTCTAGTTTTTTATTTTCTTTTCCACCACAGGCCTCAAAGTGCTCACAAATATCCCTTTGCCGATTCTTGAAGAATTGAGTTTCCAAACTGCTCAATGAAAAGAAATGTTTACCTCTGCAAGATCAATGCACACATCTCAAACGGTTTCTCAGAGAGATTCTTTCTAGTTTTTATTTGAAATTATTTCCTTTTTCACCATAGGACTCAACATGCTCCCAAATATTCCTTTTCAGATTTTACAAAAAAACTGTTTCCAAAATGGTCATTCAAAATAATGATTCAACTCTGAGATGAATACAGGCATCACAAAGAAGTATATCTATGAAAGCTTCTGTCTAGTTTTTATGTGACCATGTTTCCTTTTTCACCATTACCCTCAAAACACTCACAAATATCACTTTGCAGATTCTAGCAAAACAGATTTTTCAAACTGCTCAATGAAAAAAAACTTTTACCTCTGTAAGATGAATGCACACGTCAGAAACAGTTTCTCAGAAAAGTTCTTTCTAGTTTTTATGGGAAGATATTTCCTTTTTCACCAAAGTCCTCAAATTGCCCCAAAATATTCCTTAGCAGATACCACAAAAAGACTGATTCTAAAGTGCTCAATGAAAAGATTGGTTCAACTCTTTGAGATGAAAGAACACATCACAAAGAAGTTTCTCAGAATGCTTCTGTCTAGTTTTTAGGTGAAGATATTTCTTTTTTCACCACATGCCTCAAACAGCCTACAAATATTCCTTTGTAGATTTTACGAAAAGACTGTTTCCAAACTGCTCAATCCAAAGAAAGATTCAAATCTGTGAGGTGAATGCACACATCACAAAGAAGTTCCTCAGGAAGCTTCTGTCTTGTTTTTATGTGAAGATATTTCTTTTTTCAAAACAGGCTCAAAAATGTCCCTTTGCACATTCTACAAAAAGACTGTTTCCAAACAGGCCAATCAAAACAAACATTCAACACTGTGAGAGAATTGCAAACATCACAAAGAAGTTTCTCAGAAAGCTTATGTCTAGTTTTTATGTGAAGGTATTTCCGTTTCCACCATAAGCCACAAAGCTTTCAGAAATATCACTTTGCCGATTCTACAAAAAAACTAGTTTCAAGCTATTGAATGAAAAGAAAAGTTCAACTCTGTGAGATGAATGCACACATCACAAAGAAGTTTTTCAGAAAACTTCTGCCTAGATTTTATTTGGGGATATTTCCTTTTTCACTGTAGGTCTCAAAACACTCAAAAATGTCCCTTTGTAGATTCAACAAAAAAAACTGTTTCCAAACTGCTCTATCAAAAGAAAGGTTCAAGTCTGTGAGATGAATGCACACTTCAAAAAAAGGTTTCTCAGAAAGCTTCTGTCTAGTTATGATGTGACAATATTTCCTTTTTCACCATAGGCCAAAAACCACTATCAAATATCCGTTTGCAGATTCTATAAAAGACTGCTTCCAACATGCTCAATCAAAAGAATGGTTCAACTCTGTGAGACGAATGCACACATCACAAAGCAGTTTCTCAGAAAGTTTCTGTCTAGTTTTTAAGTAAAGACATTTCCTTTTTCACCATTGGCCACAAAGGGATCACAAATATCCCTTTGCAGATTCTGCAGAAAGACTGTTTCCAAACTGCTCAATCAAAACTAAGTTTCAACTCTGTGAGGAGAATGTACACAACCCAAAGAAGTTTCTCAGAATGCTTCTGTTTAGTTTTTATATGAAGATATTTCCTTTTCCACCATAGGCCCCAAAGTGCCCAAAAATGTCCCTTTGCAGATTCCAGAAAAGGTTGTTTCCAAACTGCTCAATCTAAAGAATAGCTCAAATCTGTGGGATGAAGGCACACATCACAAAGGAATTTCTCAGAAAGCCTGTCTACTTTTTATGTGAAGATATTTCCTTTTTTCACAATAGGCCTAGAACAGCCTACATATATCACTTTGCAGATTCCAGAAAAAGACTTTTTCCCAACTGCTCAATCAAAAGAATTGCTCAAATCTGTGGGATGAAGGCACACATCACAAAGGAATTTCTCAGAAAGCCTCTGTCTAGTTTTTATGTGAAGATATTTCCTTTTTCACAATAGGCCTAGAACAGCCTACATATATCACTTTGCAGATTCCAGAAAAAGACTTTTTCCCAACTGCTCAATCAAAAGAACAGTTCAAATCTGTGATACGAATGCACACATCACAATGAAGTTTCTCAGAAAGCTTCTGTCTTGTTTTTATGTGAAGATATTTCATTTTTCACAATATGCCTCAAAGCACTCACAAATAGTCCCCTGCAGATTCTCTAAAAAGAACATTTCCATACTGCTCAATCAAAATAAAGGTTCAAGTCTGTAAGATGAATGCACACATCACAAAGAAGTTTCTCAGAAAATTTTGATCTAGTTTTTATGTGAAGATATTTACTTTTTCACCATAACCCTCAAAGCATTCACAAATATCACTGCAGATACTAGAAAAAGTCCATTTCCATACTGTTCAATCAAAAGAATGGTTCAACTCTTTGAGATGAATGCACACATCACAAAGAAGTTTCTCAGAAAGCTTTTGTCTAATTTTTATGTTAATATATTTCCTTTTTCACCATGGGCCTCAAACCTCCTAGAAATATCCCTTTGCAGATTCCACCAAAAGACTGTTTCCAAACTGCTCTATCAAAGCAAAGTTTCAACTCTGTGAGATGAATGAACACCTCACAAAGAAGTTTCTCTGAAAGCTTTTATGTTCAGATATTTCCCTTTTCACCATAGCCCTCAAACCACTTGCAAATATCCCTTTGCAGATTATACAAAAAGAGTGTTTTCAATCTGCTCAATAAAAAGAAAGTTTCAACTCTGTGAGATGAATGCACACATCACAAAGAAGTTTCTCAGAGGGCTTCTGTCTAATTATCATGTGAAGATATTTCCTTTTTCACCATAGGCCTCAAACCGCCTATATATATCCCATTGCAGATCATACAAAAAGACTCTTTCCAAACTGCTCAAGCAAAAGTAAGCTTCAACTCCGTGAGATGAATGCTCACATCACAAAAATTTTCTCATAAAACTTCTGTCTTGCTTTTATGTGAAGATATTTCCTTTTTCACCATATGACTCAAAGCGTTCACAAATATCACTTTGCGGAGTCTACAAAAAGACTGTCTCCAAACTGCTCAATCAAAAGAACAGTTCAACTCTGTGACACGAATGAACACATCACAAAGAAGTTTTTCAGAATGCTTCTCTCTAATTTTTATATGAATATATTTCCTTTCTCACGGCAGGCCACAAACCTCGCACAAACATCCCCTTGCAGATTGTCCAAAAAGACTGTTTCCAAACTGCTCAATCAAAAGAGACGTTCAACTCTGTGTGATGATGACAGATATCACCAGGAAGTTTCTCAGAAAGCTTCTGTCTGCTTTTTATGTGAAGATGTTTCCTTTTTCACCATAGGCCTAAAACCGCCTTCATATACCCTTTGGAGATACTACAAAAAGACCGTTTCCAAACAGTTCAATCAAAAGAAAGTTTCAACACTTTGAGACGAATGCACACATCAAAAAGACGTTTCTGAGAAAGCTTCTGTCTAGTTTTTAGGTGAAGATATTTCTTTTTTCACCATAGGCCACAAAGGGATCACAAATATCTCTTTACAGATTCTCCAAAAAGACTGTTTCCAAACTGCACAATCAAGAGATGCTCAACTCTGTGTGATGAATGCACACATCATAAAGAAGTTTCACAGAAACATTATATCTAGTTTTTATGTGAAGATATTTTATTTTACACCATAGGCCTCAAACCAACTATATATATCCCTTTGTAAATTCTACAAAAAGACTGTTTTCAAACTGCTCAACCTAAAGAAAGTTCATCTCTCTCTGTGAGTTGAATGCCCACATCACAAAGAAGTTTCTCAGAAAACTTCTGTATAATTTTTATGTGGAGTCATTTCCTTTTTCACCATAGACCACAAAGGGATCATAGATATCCCTTTGCAGAATTGATAAGAAGACTGTTTCCAAACTGCTCAATCAAAAGTAAGCTTCAACTCCCTGAGATGAATGCACATGCCACAAAGTAGTTCCTCAGAAAATTTCTGTCTAGTTTTTATGTGAAGGTATTTCCTTTTCCACCATAGGTCTCAAAGCACTCCAAATATCCACTTGCAGATTCTACAAAAAGAGGGTTTCAGAACTGCTCAATCAAAAAAAGGTTCAACTCTGTGAGATGAATGCATACGTCACAAAGAAGTTTCTGAGAATGCTTCTGTCTAGTTTTTATCTGAAGATATTCCCTTTTTCACCATACACCTCAAAGCACTCCAAATATACACTTGCAGATTCTACAAAAGACTGTTTCCAAACTCCTCAATTGAAAGAAAGGTTCAACTCTGTGAGATGAAAGCACACATCACAAAGAAGATTCTCAGAAAGTTTCTGTCTAGTTTTTATGTGAAGATGCTTAGTATTTCCCCATAGATCTCAAAGGCCTCACAAATATCCCTTTACAGATTCCACAAAAAGAGTGTGTTAAAACTGCTCAATCATAAAAAGTTCAACTGTGTGAGATGAATGCACACATCACAAAGAAGTTCCTAAGAATGTGTCTGTCTAGTTTTTATGTGAAGATATTTCCTTTTTCACCATAGTCCTTAAACCAGGCACAGATATCCTTCTGCAGATACTGCAAAAAGACTGTTTCCAAACTGCTCCATCAAAAGAAAGTTTCAACTCTGTGCGATGAATGAACACATCAAAAAGAAGTTTCTCAGAATGCTTCTGTCTAGTTTTTATGTGAAGCAATTTCCTTTTTCACCACAGGCCTCAAAGCACCCCAAATATCTATTTGCAGATTCTACAAAAAGACATTTTACAAACAGCTCAATCAAAAGAAAGGTTCAACTCTGTGAGGCGAATGCACAAATCACAAAGAAGTTTCTGAGAATGCTTCTGTCTAGTTTTTATGTGAAGATATTTCCTTTTTCACCATAGGCCTCAAAGCACTCCAAATATCCACTTGCAGATTGTACAAAAAGAGTGTTTCCAAACTGCTCAATCAAAAGAAAGTGCCAACTCTGTGAAATGAAAACACGCATCAGAAAGTAGTTTCTCAGAAAGTTTCTGTCTAGTTTTTATGTGAAGTTATTTCCTATTTCCCCATCGCCTCAATGGGCTCACAAATATCCCTTTGCAGACTCTACAAAATGACTGTTTCCAAACTGCTCAATCAGAAGTAATGTTCAACTGTGTGAGATCAAGTCACACGTCACAGAAAGTTTCTCAGAATGCTTTTGTCTAGTTTTTATGTGAAGATATTTCCTTTTCCACCATAGGCCTCAAAGCGCTCCAAATATCCACTTGCAGAATCTACAAAAAGAGTGTTTCAAAACTGCTGAATCAAAAGAAATGTTCAGCTCTGTGAGATGAATGCACACATCAAAAATAAGTTTCTCGGAAAGCTTCTGTCTACTTATTATGTGAAGATATTTCCTTTTTCACTATAGGCCTCAAAGAGCTCCAAATATCCATTTGCAGTTTCTACAAAAAGAATGTTTATAAACTGCTCAATCAAAAGAAGTTTCAACTCTGTGAGATGAAAGCTCACATCACAAAGGAGTTTCTCACAATGTTTCTTCCTTGTTTATGTGAAGATATTTCCTATTTCCCCATAGTCCTCAGTGGGTTCACAAATATCCCTTTGCAGATTGTATGAAACAACTGTTTAAAAATTGCTCAATCAAAAGAAATTTTCAACTCTGTGAGATGAAAGCACACATCAAAAATAAGTTCTCACAGTGCTTCTGCCTAGTTTTTTTTTGTGAAGATATTTCCTTTTCCACCATAGGCCTCAAAGCTCTAAAAAATATCCACTTGCAGATTCTACAAAAAGAGTGTTTCAAGACTGCTCAATCAAAAGAAAGCTTCAATTCTGTGAGATGAATGCACACATCACAAAGAAGTTTCTCAGAATGCTTCTGTATAGTTTTTATGAGAAGATATTTCCTTTTTCACCACAGGCATCAATGCACTGGAAATATCCTTTTGCAGATACTACAAAAGACGGATTCCAAACCACTCAATCAAAAGTAAGGTTCAAGTCTTTGAGATAAATGAACACATCACAAAGAAGTTTCACAGAATGCTTCTGTCTAGTTATAATGTGAAGATATTTCCTTTTTCACCACAGGCATCAAATCGCTGCAAATACCCACTTGCAGATAGTACAAAAAGACAGATTCCAAACTGCTCAATCAAAAGGAAGGTTCAACTCTGTTATATGAAAGCACACACCACAAAGAAATTTCTCAGAATGCTTCTGTCTAGTTTTATGTGAAGATATTTCCTTTTTAACCGTGGGCCTCAAAGCACTCAAAATATCCATTTGGAGATACTACAAAAAGACTCTTCACAAACGGCTGAACGAAAACAATTTTCACCTCTGTGAGATGAATGCACACATCACAAATAAGTTTCTCAGAATGTTTCTGTCTAGGTTTTATGTTAAGATATTTCCTTTTTTACCGTAGGCCTCAAAGCACTCCAAATATCCTTTTGCAGATACCACATAGGCCTCAGTGGGCTCACAAATATCCGTTTGCAGACTGTACGAAATGACTGTTGAAAAACTACTCAATCAAAAGATATGTTCCACTCTGTGAGATGAATGTACACATCAAAAAGAAGTTTCTCAGAGTGCTTTTGTCTAGTTTTTTTGTGAAGATGTTTAACTTTCCATCATAGGCCTGAAAGCACTCAAAATATCCACTTGCTAATTCTACTAAAAGAGTGTTTCCAGACTGATCAATCAAAAGAAAGCTTCAACTCTGTGAGATGAATGCACAAATCACAAAGAAGTCTCTCAGAATGCTTCTGTCTAGTTTTTATGTGAAGATATTTCCTATTTCAAAATAGGCCTCAAAGTGCTCCAAATATCCATTTGCAGATATTACAAAAGACTGTTTCCAAACTGCTCAATCAAAAGAAAGATTCAACTCTGTGAGATGAATGCACGCATCACAAAGACGTTTCTCGAATGCTTCTGTCTAGTTTTTATCTGAAGATATTTTCTTTTCCACCTTAGGCCACAAAGCACTCCAAGTATCCAATTGCATAATCTGCAAAAAGTGTGTTTCAAAATTGCTCAATCAAAAGAAAGCTTCAACTCTATGAGATGAAAGTATATATCACAAAGGAGTTTCTCACAAAATTTCTGTCTAGTTTTTATGTTTTGATATTTCCTGTTTCACCATAGGCCTCAATATGGTCACAAATGTCCCTTTGAGATTCTACAAAACGACGGTTTCCAAACTGCTCAATCAAAAGAAATGTTCAACTCTGACAGGTGAATGCACACATCACAAAGAAGTTTCTCAAAATGCTTGTGTATAGTTTTTATGAGAAGATATTTCCATTTCCACCTTAGTCCTAAAGCGCTCCAAATATCGAATTGCAGATCCTACAAAATGACTATTTCCAAACTGCTCAATCAATAGAAATGCTCAACTCTGTGAGATGAATCCACACATCACAAAGAAGATCCTCAAAATGCTTCTGTCTAGTTTTTTTGTGAAGATATTTCCTTTTCCACATTGGCCTCAAAGCACTTGAAATATCCACTTGCAGATTCTACAAAAAGAGTGTTTCAAAACTGCTCATTCAAAAGAAAGGTTCAGATCCCTTAGATGAATGAACACATCACAAAGTAGTTTCTAAGAATGCTTCTGTCTAGTTTTTATGTGGAGATATTTCCTTTTTCACCATAGGCAGCAAAGCACTCCAAATATCCACTTACAGATTCTACAAGAAGAGTGTTTCAAAACTCTTCAATCAACAGAAAGGTTCAACTCTGTGATATGAATGCACGCATCACAAAGGAGTTTCTCACAATGCTTCTGACTAGTTTTTATGTGAAGATATTTCTTTTTCACCACCGTCCTCATAGTGTTCCAAATGTCCACTTTCAGATTCTACAAAAAGACTGTTTACAAACTGCTCAGTCAAAAGAAAGGTTCAACTCCGTGAGATGAAAGCACATATCATAAAGAAGTTTCTCAGCATGATTATGTCTAGTTTTTATATGAAGATATTTCCTATTTCCCCATAGGCCTCAATGGGCTCACAAATATCTCTTTGCAGATTCTACAAAAAGAGTCTTTCAAAACTCCTTAATCAAAACAAAGGGTCAACACTGTGAGATGAATGCACACAGCACAGAGAAGTTTCTCAGAATGCTTCTGTCTAGTTTTTATGAGAAGATATTTCCTTTTTTACCATATAAATCACAGTGCTCCAAATATCCATTTGCAGATTCTACAAAAGACTGTTTCCAAACTGCTCAACAGAAAGTTTCAACTCTGTGAGATGAAAGGACATGTTACAAAGAGGTTTCTCAGAAAGTTTCCATATAGTTTTTATGTGAAGATATTCTCTTTTCCACCATTGGCCTCAAATCACTGCCAATATCCCCTTGCAGATTATACAAAAAGAGTGTTTAAAAGCAGCTCTTTCAAAAGAAAGGCTCAATTCTGTGAGATGATTGCCCACGTCCCAAAGAAGTTTCTCAGAATGCTTCTGTCTGCTTCTTACGTGAAGACATTGCTCTTTCCACATTAGGTCTCACAGCGCTCCAAATATCTACTTGCAGATTCTACAAAAAGAGTCTTTTGAAACTGCTCAATCAAAAGAAACGTTCAACTCCTTGAGATGAATACACACATTACAAAGAAATTTCTCAGATTGCTTCTGTCTAGTTTTTATGTGAAGATATTTCCTTTTTCACCATAGGCCTCAAAGCACTCCAAATATACACTTGCAGATATTACAAAAGACTCTTTCCAAACTGCTCAATCAAAAGAAAGATTCAACTCTGTGAGATGAATGCACACATCACAAAGAAGTTTCTCAGAATGTTTCTGTCTAGTTTTTATGTAAAGATATTTCCTTTTACAATATAGGCTGCAAAGCATTCCAAATATCAACTTTTAGATCCTACGAAAAGACTGGCTCCAAACTGCTCAATCAAAAGAAAATTTGAACTCTGTGAGTTGAATGCACACATCACAAAGAAGTTTCTCAGAATGCTTCTGTCTCGTTTTTATGTGAAGATATTTCCTATTCCACCATAGGCCACAAAGCTCTCCAAATATCCACTTGCAGATTCTACAAAAAGAGTGTTTCTAAAGTGGCCAATCAAAATAAAGGTTCAACTCCGTGAGATGAATGCACACATCGCAAAGAAGCATCTCAGAATGCTTCTGTCTAGTTTTTATGTGAAGATATTTCCTTTTCCAACATAGGCCATGAATTGCTCCAAATATCCACTTGCAGATTCTAAAAAAAGAGAGTTTCCAAGCTGCTCAATCAAAACAAAGGTTCAACTGTGTGAGATGAATGCACACATTGAAAGAAATTTCTCATAATCCTTCAGTCTAGTTTTTATGTGAAGGTATTTCCTTTTCCAACATAGGCCGCAAAGCACTCCATATATCCACTTGCAGATCCTACAAAAATGTGTGTCAAAACTGCTCAATCAAAAGGAAGTTTCAACTCTGTGAGATGAATGCAAACATCACAAAGAAGTTTCTCAGAATGCTTCTGTCTAGTTTTTATGAGAAGATATTTCCTTTTCCAAAATAAGCCACAAAGTGCTCCAAATATCCACTTGCAGATTCTACAAAAAGAGGGTTCAAAACTGCTCAATCAAAAGAAAGGTTCAACTCTGTGGGATGAATGCAGACTTCACAAAGAGGTTTCTCAGAAAGCTTCTGTCTAGTTTTTATGTGAAGATATTTCCTTTTCAACTACAGGACTTGAAGCGCTCCAAATATCCACCTGAAGATAATACAAAAAGACTGTTTGCAAACTGCTCAATAAAAAGAAATTTTTATGTCTGTGGGTTGAATGAACACATCACAAAGAAGGTTCTCAGAATGATTCTGTCTAGTTTTTATATGAAGATATTCCCTTTTACACTATAGGACGCAATGTGCTCCATATATCCAAATGCAGATTTTCCAAAAGTGTGTTTCAAACCTGCCCGATCAAAAGAAAGTTTCAACTGTGTGAGATGAGTGCACACATCTCAAAGAATTTTTTCAGAATGCTTCTATTTATTTTTTATGTGAAGATATTTCCTTTTCCACTACAGGCCACAATGCGCTCCAAGTATCCACTTGCAGATTCTACAAAAAGAGTGTTTCAAAACTGTTCTATCAAAAGAAAGGCTCATCTCTGTAATATGAATGCACACATAACAACGAAGTTTCTCAGAATGCTTCTGTCTAGTCTCTATTTGAAGATATTTCCTTTTATACTATAAGCCTCAAAACGCTCCAAATATCCTTTTGCAAATACTACAAAAAGACTTTCCAAACTGCTCGATCAAAAGAAATGTTTGTCTGTGAGTTCAATGCCACATCACAAAGAAGTTTCTCAGAATGAGTCTGTCTAGTTTTTATGTGAAGATATTTCCTTTTCCACTATAGGCCTCAAAGCGTTCCAAATATCCACTTGCAGATTCTACAAAAAGAGTTTCAAAACTGCTCAATCAAGGGAGAAGTTCAAGTCTGTGAGTTGAAAGCAGACATCACAGAGAAGTTTCTCAGAATTCTTCTGTCTAGTTTTTATTTGAAGATATTTCCTTTACCACCTTAAGCCTCAAAGTGCTTCAAATATCTACATTCAGAATATACAAAAAGAGTTTTTCAAAACTGCTGAATCAAAAGAGAGGTTCAACTCTGTGAGATGAATGCACACATCACAAAGGAGTTTCTCAGAATGATTCTGCCTAGTTTTTATGTGAAGACATTTCCTTTTACACTAGAGGCTGCAAAGCGTTCCAAATATCCATTTGCAGATTCTGCAGAAAGAGTGTATTAAGGCCGGGCGCGGTGGCTCACGCCTGTAATCCCAGCACTTTGGGAGGCCGAGGCGGGCGGATCACGAGGTCAGGAGATCGAGACCATCCCGGCTAAAACGGTGAAACCCCGTCTCTACTAAAAATACAAAAAATTAGCCGGGCGTAGTGGCGGGCGCCTGTAGTCCCAGCTACTTGGGAGGCTGAGGCAGGAGAATGGCGTGAACCCGGGAGGCGGAGCTTGCAGTGAGCCGAGATCCCGCCACTGCACTCCAGCCTGGGCGACAGAGCGAGACTCCGTCTCAAAAAAAAAAAAAAAAAAAAAAAAAAAAAAAAAAAAAAAAAAAAAAAAGAAAGAGTGTATTAAAACTGCTCAGTCAAAACAGAGGTTCAACTCTGTGAGTTGAATGCATACATCACAAAGGAGTTTCTCAGACTGCTTCAGTCAAGTTTTCATGTGAAGATATTTCCTGTTCTAGTAGAGGCCTCAAAGTGCTGCAAATATCCACTTGCAGATTCTACAAAAAGAGTGTTTCAAAACTGCTGAATCAAAAGAAAGTTTCAACTCTGAGAGACGAATGCACACATCATGAAGAAGTTTCTCAGAATGCTTATGTCTACTTTTTATGTGTAGATATTTCCTTTTCCACTGGAGGTCGCAAAGCGCTCCAAACATCCAATTGCATTTTGTACAAAAAGGTTGTTTCAAAACTGCTCAATCAAAAGAGAGGTTCAACTCTGTGAGTTGAATGCACACATCACAAAGAAGTTTCTCAAAATGCTTCTGTCTGGTTTCCATGTGAAGATATTTCCTTTTCCACCATAGGCCTTTAAGTGCTCCCAATATCCATTTGCAGATACTACAAAAAGTCTGTTTTCAAATTGCTCGATCAAAAGAAAGGTTCCACTCTGCGAGTTGAATGCACACATCACAAAGAAGTTTCTTAGAATCCTTCTGTCTAGTTTCCATGTGAAGATATTTCCTTTTCCACCATAGGACTCAAAGCGATCCAAATATCCATTTGTAGGTTCTGCAAAAAGAGTGTTTCAAAACTGCTCAATCAAAAGAAATGTTCAACTCTGTGAGATGAATGCTCACATCACAAAGAAGTTTCTCAGAATGCTTCTGTCTAGTTTTTATGTGAAGATATTTCCTTTTTCACCATAGGCCTCAAAGCGCTCCAAATATCCACTTGCAGATTGTACAAAAAGACTGTTTCCAAAGTGCTCAATCAACGCAAGTGTTTAACTCTGTGAGATGAATGCATACATCACAAAGAAGTTTCTCAGAATGTTTCTGTCTAGTTTTTATGTGAAGATATTTCCTTTTCCAATATAGGCCACAAAGCATTCCAAATATCAACTTATAGATCCTACGAAAAGACTGGCTCCAAACTGCTCAATCAAAAGAAAATTTGAACTCTGTGAGTTGAATGCACACATCACAAGACGTTTCTCAGAATGATTCTGTCTATCTTTTATGTGAAGATATTTCCTTTTACACTAGAGGCCGAAAAGCGCTCCAAATATCCCTTTGCAGATTCTACAAAAAGAGTATTTCAGAACTGCTCAATCAAAAGAGAGGTTAAACACTGTGAGTTGAATGCACACAACACAAGAAATTTCTCAGAATGATTCTCTGTAGGTTTTATGTGAAGATATTTCCTTTTCCACTATAGTCCTCAAAGCGCTCCAAATATCCATTTGCAGATACTAGAAAAAGACTGTTTCCAAAGGGCTCAATCAAAGAAAGGTTCAGCACTGTGATTTGAATGCACACATCCAAAGAAGTTTCTCAGGATGCTTCTGTGTAGTTTTTATGTGAAGATATTTCCTTTTCCACCATAGGTCTCAAAGCGCTCCAAATATCAACTTGCAGAATCTACAAAAAGAGTGTTTCAAAACTGCCCAATCAAAAGAAACTTTCAATTCTGTGAGATGAATGCACAGATCATAAAAAATTTTCTCAGAATGCTTCTGTCTAGTTTTCATGTGAAGATGTTTCCTTTTCCAGTAGAGGCTTCATGGCGCTGCAAATATCCACTTGCAGTTTCTACAAAAAGAGTGTTTCAAAACTGCTCAATCAAAAGAAAGGTTAATCTCCGTGAGGTAAATGCACACATCATAAAGAAGTTTCTCAGAATGCTTGTCTAGTTTTTATGTGAAGATATTTCCTCTTCCACTAGAGGCCGCTTAGTGATCCAAATATTCACTTGCAGAATCTACAAAAAGTGTGTTTCAAACCTGCTCAATCAAAGGAGAGTTTCAACTCTGTTAGTTGAATGCACCCGTCACGAAGTAGTTTCTGAGAATGCTTCGTTCTAGTTTTTATGTGAAGACATTTCCTTTTCCACTAGAGGCCTCAACGCCCTCGAAATATCCACTTGCAAATTCTACAAAAAGAGTGTTTCAAGACCGCTAAATCAAAACAAAGGTTCAATTCTGTGAGATGAATGCACACATCACAAAGTAGTTTCTCAGAATGCTTCTGTCTATTTTTTATGTGAAGATATTTACTTCTGTACTAGAGGCTGCAAAGCGCTCCAAATATCCAGTTGCACATTCTACAAATATAGTGTTTCAAAACTGCTCAATCAAAAGAAATGTTCAACTCTGTGACTTCAGTGCACATTTTACAAAGAAGTTTCTCAGAATGCTTCTGTCCTGTTTTTATATGTAGGTATTTACTTCTCCACTGGAGGCCAAAAAGCACTCCAAATATCCACCGACAGATTTTACAAAAAGAGTACTTCAAAACATCTCAATCAAAAGAAAGTTTCAACTTTGTGAGTTGAAAGCAAATATCACAAAGAAGTTTCTCAGAATGCTTCTGTCTGGTATTTATGTGAAGATATTTCCTTTTCCACCACAGACTTCAAATCGCTACAAATATCCACTAGCAGATTTTACAAAAAGAGTGTTTCAAAACTGTTCAATCAAAAGAAAGGTTCACCTCTGTCAAATGAATGCACAATTCACAAAGAAGTTTCTCAGATCACTTCCGACTAGTTTTTATGTGAAGATATTTCCTTTTCCAATACAGGCCTCAATGGGCAAATATCCACTTGCAGATACTACAAAAAGACTCTTTCCAGACTCCTTAATAAAAAGAAATGTTCGTCTGAAAAGAGGGACAATTTGACTTCCTCTTTTCCTAATTGAACACGCTTTATTTCCTTCTGCCTAATTGCCCTGGCCAGAACTTCCAACACTATGTTGAATAGGAGTGGTGACAGAGGGCATCCCTGTCTTGTGCCAGTTTTCTTTTTTTTTATTTTCAATAATTTTTTATTCTTTTTTTAACTTTTATTTTTATTATACTTTAAGTTTTAGGGTAAAAGTGCACATTGTGCAGGTTAGTTACATATGTATACATGTGCCATGCTGATGCGCTGCACCCACTAACTCGTCATCTACCATTAGGTATATCTCCCAAAGCTATCCCTCCCCCCTCCCCCCACCCCACCACAGTCTCCAGAGTGTGATATTCCCCTTCCTGTGTCCTTGTGATCTCATTGTTCAATTCCCACCTATGAGTGAGAATATGCAGTGTTTGGTTTTTTTGTTCTTGAGATAGTTTACTGAGAATGATGATTTCCAATTTCATCCATGTCCCTACAAAGGACATGAACTCATCATTTTTTTATGGCTGCATAGTATTCCATGGTGTATATGTGCCACATTTTCTTAATCCAGTCTATCGTTGTTGGACATTTGGGTTGGTTCCAAGTCTTCGCTATTGTGAATAATGCCACAATAAACATACATGTGCATGTGTCTTTATAGCAGCATGATTTATAGTCCTTTGGGTATATATCCAGTAATGGGATGGCTGGGTCAAATGGTATTTCTAGTTCTAGATCCCTGAGGAATCGCCACACTGACTTCCACAATGGTTGAACTAGTTTACAGTCCCACCAACAGTGTAAAAGTGTTCCTATTTCTCCACTTCCTCTCCAGCACCTGTTGTTTCCTGACTTTTTAATGATTGCCATTCTAAGTGGTGTGAGATGGTATCTCACTGTGGTTTTGATTTGCATTTCTCTGATGGCCAGTGATGATGAGCATTTTTTCATGTGTTTTTTGGCTGCATGAATGTCTTCTTTTGAGAAGTGTCTGTTCATGTCCTTCGCCCTCTTTTTGATGGGGTTGTTTGTTTTTTTCTTGTGAATTTGTTGGAGTTCATTGTAGATTCTGGATATTAGCCCTTTGTCAGATGAGTAGGTGGCAAAAATTTTCTCCCATTTTGTAGGTTGCCTGTTCAATCTGATGGTAGTTTCTTTTGCTGTGCAGAAGCTCTTTAGTTTAATGAGATCCCATTTGTCAATTTTGTCTTTTGTTGCCATTGCTTTTGGTGTTTTAGACATGAAGTCCTTGCCCATGCCTATGTCCTGAATGGTAATGCTAGGTTTTCTTCTAGGGTTTTTATGGTTTTAGGTCAAACGTTTAAGTCTTTAATCCATCTTGAATTGATTTTTGTATAAGGTGTAAGGAAGGGATCCAGTTTCAGCTTTCTATATATGGCTAGCCAGTTTTCCCAGCACCATTTATTAAATAGGGAATCCTTTCCCCTTGTTTGTTTTTCTCAGGTTTGTCAAAGATCAGATAGTTGTAGATATGTGGCGTATTTCTGAGGGCTCTGTTCTGTTCCATTGATCAATATCTCTGTTTTGGTACCAGTACCATGCTGTTTTGGTTATTGTAGCCTTGTAGTATAGTTTGAAGTCAGGTAGTGTGATGACTCCAGCTTTGTTCTTTTGGCTTAGGATTTACTTGGTGATGCGGGCTCTTTTTTGGTTCCATGTGAACTTTAAAGTAGTTTTTTCCAATTCTGTGAAGAAAGTCATTGGTACCTTGATGGGGATGGCATTGAATCTGTAAATTACCTTGGGCAGTATGGTCATTTTCAGGATATTGATTCTTCCTACCCATGAGCATGGAATGTTCTTCCCTTTGTTTGTATCCTCTTTTATTTCCTTAAGCAGTGGTTTGTAGTTCTCCTTGAAGAGGTCCTTCACATCCCTTGTAAGTTGGATTCCTAGGTATTTTATTCTCTTTGAAGCAATTGTGAATGGGATTTCACTCATGATTTGGCTCTCTGTCTGTTGTTGGTGTATAAGAATGCTTGTGATTTTGGTACATTGATTTTATATCCTGAGACTTTGCTAATGTTGCTTATCAGCTTAAGGAGATTTTGGGCTGAGACAATGGGGTTTTCTAGATATACAATCATGTCGTCTGCAAACAGGGACAATTTGACTTCCTGTTTTCCTAATTGAATACCCTTTATTTCCTTCTCCTGCCTAATTGCCCTGGCCAGAACTTCCAACACTATGTTGAATAGGAGCGGTGAGAGAGGGCATCCCTGTGTTGTGACAATTTTCAAAGGGAATACTTCCAATTTTTGCCCATTCAGTATGATATTGACTGTGGCTTTGTCATAGATAGCTTTTATTATTTTGAGATACGTCCCGTCAATTCCTAATTGATTGAGAGTTTTTAGCATGAAGTGTTGTTGAATTTTGTCAAAGGCTTTTTGTGCATCTATTGAGATAATCATGTGGTTTTTGTCTTTGCCTCTGTTTATATGCTGGATTACATTTATTGATTTGCATATATTGAACCAGCCTTGCATCCCAGGGATGAAGCCCACTTGATCATGGTGGATAAGCTTTTGGATGTGCCGCTGGATTCGTTTTGCCAGTATTTTATTGAGGATTTTTGCATCAATGTTCATTCAAGGATATTGGTCTAAAATTCTGTTTTTTGGTTGTGTCTCTGCCTGGCTTTGGTATCAGAATGATGCTGGCCTCATAAAATGAGGTAGGGAGTATTCTGTCTTTTTCTATTGATTGAATTAGTTTCAGAAAGAATGGTACCAGTCCCTCCTTGTACCTCTGGTAGAATTCGGCTGTGAATCCATCTGGTCCTGGATTCTTTTTGGTTGGTAAGCTATTGATTATTGCCACAATTTCAGATACTGTTATTGGTCTATTCAGAGATTAAACTTCTTCCTGTTTTAGTCTTAGGAGAGTGTATGTGTAGAGAAATTTATCCATTTCTTCTAGATTTTCTAGTTTATTTGTGTAGAGGTGTTTGTAGTATTCTCTGATGGTAGCTTGTATTTCTGTGGGATCGGTGGTGATATCCCCTTTATCATTTTTTATTGCGTCTATTTGATTCTTCTCTCTTTTTTTCTTTATTAGTCTTGCTAGACGTCTATCAATTTTGTTGATACTTTCAAAAAACCAGATCCTGGATTCATTAATTTTGTGAAGGGTTTTTTGTGTCTCTATTTCCTTCAGTTCTGCTCTGATTTTAGTTATTTCTTGCCTTCTGCTAGCTTTTGAATGAGTTTGCTCTTGCTTCTCTAGTTCTTTTAATTGTGATGTTAGGGTGTCCATTTTGGATCTTTCCTGCTTTCTCTTGTGGGCATTTAGTGCTATAAATTTCCCTCTACACACTGCTTTGAATGCATCCCAGAGAATCTGGTATGTTGTGTCTTTGTTCTCATTGGTTTCAAAGAACATATTTATTTCTGCCTTCATTTCGTTATGTACCCAGTAGTCATTCAGGAGCAGGTTGTTCAGTTTCTATGTAGTTGAGCAGTTTTGAGGGAGATTCTTAATCCTGAGTTCTAGTTTGAGTGCACTGTGGTCTGAGAGATAGTTTGTTATAATCTCTGTTCTTTTACATTTGCTGAGGAGAGCTTTACTTCCAACTATGTGGTCAATTTTGGAATAGGTGTGGTGTGGTGCTGAAAAAATGTATATTCTGTTGATTTGGGGTGGAGAGTTCTGTAGATGTTATTAAGTCCACTTGGTGCAGAGCTGAGTTCAATTCCTGGGTATCCTTGTTGACTTTCTGACTCATTAATCTGTCTAATGTTGACAGTGGGGTGTTAAAGTCTCCCATTATTAATGTGTGGGAGTCTAAGTCTCTTTGTAGGTCACTCAGGAATTGCTTTATGAATCTGGGTGCTCCTGTATTCGGTGCATATATATTTAGGATAGTTAGCTCTTCTTGTTGAATTGATCCCTTTACCATTATGTAATGGCCTTCTTTGTCTCTTTTGATGTTTGTTGGTTTAAAGTCTGTTTTATTAGAGACTAGGATTGCAACCCCTGCCTTTTTTTGTTTTCCATTTGCTTGGTAGGTCTTCCTCCATCCTTTAATTTTAAGCCTATGTGTGTCTCTGCACGTGAGATGGGTTTCCTGAATACAGCACACTGATGGGTCTTGACTCTTTATCCAATTTGCCAGTCTGTGTCTTTTAATTGGAGCACTTAGTCCATTTACATTTAATGTTAATATTGGTATGTGTGAATTTGATCCTGTCATTATGATGTTAGCTGGTTATTTTGCTCATTAGTTGATGCAGTTTCTTCCTCGTCTTGATGGTCTTTACATTTTGGCATGATTTTGCAGTGGCTGGTACCGGTTGTTTCTTTCCTTTCCATGTTTAGCACTTCCTTCAGGAGCTCTTTTAGGGTAGTCCTGGTGGTGACAAAATCTCTCAGCCTTTGCTTGTCTGTAAAGTATTTTATTTCTCCTTCACTTATGAAGCTTAGTTTGGCTGAATATGAAATTCTGGGTTGAAAATTCTTTTCTTTAAGAATGTTGAATATTGGTCCCCACTCTCTTCTGGCTTGTAGGGTTTCTGTCAAGAGATCTGCTGTTAGTCTGATGGGCTTCCCTTTGAGGGTAACCTGACATTTCTCTCTGGCTGCCCTTAACATTTTTTCCTTCATTTCAACTTTGGTGAATCTGACAATTATGTGTCTTGGAGTTGCTCTTCTCGAGGAGTATCTTTGTGGCGTTCTCTGTATTTCCTGAGTCTGAACGTTTGCCTGCCTTGCTAGATTGGGGAAGTTCTCCTGGATAATATCCTGCTGAGTGTTTTCCAACTGGGTTCCATTCTCCCCATCACTTTCAGGTAAACCAATGAGATGTAGGTTTGGTCTTTTCATATAGTCCCATATTTCTTGGAGGCTTTACTCATTTCTTTTTATTCTTTTTTCTCTAAACTTCCCTTCTCACTTCATTTCATTCATTTCATCATCCATTGCTGATACCCTTTCTTCCAGTTGATCTCATCAGCTCCTGAGTCTTCTGCATTCTTCAAATAGTTCTCCAGCCTTGGTTTTCAGCTCCACCAGCTCCTTTAAGCACTTCTCTGTATTGGTTATTCTAGTTATACATTCTTCTAAATTTTTTTCAAAGTTTTCAACTTCTTTGTCTTTGGTTTGAATGTCTTCCCGAAGCTCAGAGTAATTTGATCATCTGAAGCCTTCTCTCAGCTCGTCAAAGTCATCCTCCATCCAGCTTTGTTCCGTTGCTGGTGAGGAACTGCGTTCCTTTGGAGGAAGAGAGGTGCTCTGCTTTTTAGAGTTTCCAGTTTTTCTGTTCTGTTTCTTCCCCATCTTTGTGGTTTTATCTACTTTTGGTCTTTGATGATGGTGATGTACACATGGGTTTTTGGTGTGGATGTCCTTTCTGTTTGTTAGTTTTCCTTCTAAAAGACAGGACCCTCAGCTGCAGGTCTGTTGGAATACCCTGCTGTGTGCGGTGTCAGTGTGCCCCTGCTGGGGGGTGCCTCCCAGTTAGGCTGCTCGGGGATCAGGGGTCAGGGACCCACTTGAGGAGGCAGTCTGCCCATTCTCAGACCTCCAATTGTGCCAGTTTTCAAAGGGAATGATTCTAGTTTTTGCCCATTCAGTATGATATTGGCTGTGGGTTTGTCATAGATAGCTCTTATTATTTTGAAATATGTCCCATCAATACCTAATTTATTGAGAGTTTTTAGCATGAAGGGTTGTTGAATTTTGTCAAAGGCCTTTTCTGCATTTATTGAGATGATCATGTGGTTTTTGTCTTTGGCTCTGTTTATATGCTGGATTACATTATTGATTCGCATATATTGAACCAGCCTTGCATCCCAGGGTTGAAGCCCGCTTGATCATGGTGGATAAGCTTTTGGATGTGCTTCTGGATTCGTTTTGCCAGTATTTTATTGAGGATTTTTGCATCAATGTTCATCAAGGATATTGGTCTAAAATTCTCTTTTTTGGTTGTGTCTCTGCCAGGCTTTGGTATCAGAATGATGCTGGCCTCCTAAAATGAGTTAGGGAGGATTCCCTCTTTTTCTATTGATTGGAATAGCTACAGAAGGAATGGTGCCAGTTCCTCCTTGTACCTCTGATAGAATTCCACTGTGAATCCATCTGGTCCTGGACTCTTTTTGGTTGGTAAGCTGTTGATTATTGCCACAATTTCAGATCCTGTTATTGGTCTATTCCTAGATTCAAATTCTTCCTGTTTTAGTCTTGGGAGAGTGTATGTGTCGAGGAATTTATCCATTTCTTCTAGATTTTCTACTTTATTTGCCTAGGGGTGTTTGTAATATTCTCTGATGGTAGTTTGTATTTCTGTGGGATTGGTGGTGATATCCTCTTTATCATTTTTTATTGTGTCTATTTGATTCTTCTCTCTTTTTTTCTTTATTAGTCTTGCCATTGGTCTATTTTGTTGATCCCTTCAAAAAAACCAGCTCCTGGATTCATTAATTTTTTGAAGGGTTTTTGACATGATTGTATATCTAGAAAACCCCATTGTCTCAGCCCAAAATCTCCTTAAGCTGATAAGCAAATTCAGCAAAGTCTCAGGATACAAAATCAATGCTCCAAAACCACAAGCATTCTTATACACCAACAGCAGACAAACAGAGAGCCAAATCATGAGTGAACTCCCCTTCACAATTGTTTCAAAGAGAATAAAATACATAGGAATCCAACTTACAAGGGATGTGAAGGACCTCTTCAAGGAGAACTACAAACCACTGCTTAAGGAAATAAAAGAGGATACAAACAAATGGAAGAACATTCCATGCTCATGGGTAGGAAGAATCATTATCATGAAAATGACCATACTGCCCAAGGTAATTTATAGATTCAATGCCATCCCCATAAAGGTACCAATGACTTTCTTCACAGAATTGGAAAAAACTACTTTAAAGTTCATATTGGAAACAAAAAAGAGCCCGCATCACCAAGTCAATCCTAAGTCAAAAGAACAAAGCTGGAGTCATCACACTACCTGACTTCAAACTATACTACAAGGCTACAGTAACCAAAACAGCATGTTACTGGTACCAAAACAGAGATATTGATCAATGGAACAGAACAGAGCCCTCAGAAATAATGCTGCATATCTACAACTATCTGATCTTTGACAAACCTGAGAAAAACAAACAAGGGGAAAGGATTCCCTATTTAATAAATGGTGCTGGGAAAACTGGCTAGCCATATATAGAAAGCTGAAACTGGATCCCTTCCTTACACCTTATACAAAAATCAATTCAAGATGGATTAAAGACTTAAATGTTAGACCTAAAACCATAAAAACCCTAGAAGAAAACCTAGGCAATACCATTCAGGACATAGGCATGGGTAAGGACTTCATGTCTAAAACACCAAAAGCAATGGCAACAAAAGACAAAATTGAGAAATGGGATCTAATTAAACTAAAGTGCTTCTGTACAGCAAAAGAAACTACCATCAGATTGAACAGGCAACCTACAAAATGGGAGAAAATTTTTGCCACCTACTCATCTGACAAAGGGCTAATATCCAGAATCTACAATGAACTCCAACAAATTTACAAGAAAAAAACAAACAACCCCAACAAAAAGTGGGCAAAGAACATGAACAGACACTTCTCAAAAGAAGACATTCATGCAGCCAAAAAACACATGAAAAAATGCTCATCATCACTGGCCATCAGAGAAATGCAAATCAAAACCACAGTGAGATACCATCTCACACCACTTAGAATGGCAATCATTAAAAAGTCAGGAAACAACAGTTGCTGGAGAGGATGTGGAGAAATAGGAACACTTTTACACTGTTGGTGGGACTGTAAACTAGTTCAACCATTGTGGAAGTCAGTGTGGCAATTCCTCAGGGATCTAGAACTAGAAATACCATTTGACCCAGCCATCCCATTACTGGGTATATACCCAAAGGACTATAAATCATGCTGCTATAAAGACACATGCACATGTATGTTTATTGTGGCATTATTCACAATAGCAAAGACTTGGAACCAACCCAAATGTCCAACAACGATAGACTGGATTAAGAAAATGTGGCACATATACACCATGGAATACTATGCAGCCATAAAAAATGATGAGTTCATGTCTTTGTAGGGACATGGATGAAATTGGAAATCATCATTCTTAGTAAACTATCGCAAGAATGAAAAACCAAACACCGCATATTCTCACTCATAGGTGGGAATTGAACAGTGAGATCACATGGACACAGGAAGTGGAACAACAGACTCTGGGGCCTGTTTTGTGGTGGGGCAAGGGGAGAGGTATAGCATTGGGAGATATACCTAATGCTAGATGACGAGTTAGTGGGTGCAGTGCACCAGCACGGCACATGTGTACATATGTAACTAACCTGCACATTGTGTACATGTACCCTAAAACTTAAAATATAATAATAAAAGAAAAAAGTATAAATCTGCCATAAAAAAAGAAGAATTGTTTAACTCTCTGAGTTGAATGCACACGTCACAAAGAAGGTTCTCAGAGTGCTTCTGTCTAGTTATTATGTGAATATATTTCCTTTTTCCACCTTAGGACTCAAAGCGCTCCAAACATCCACTTTGAGACTCTCCAAAAAGAGTGTTTCAAAACTGCTCAGTCAAAACAAACGTTCATGTCTGTGAGTTGAAAGCACAAATCACAAAGTAGTTTCTCAGAATGCTTCTGTCTAGTTTGTATGTAAAGATATTTCCTTTTTCACTAAAGGCCGCAAAGAGCTCCAAATATCCACTTGCAGATACTACAAGAAGAGTGTTTCAAAACTGCCCAATCAAAAGAAAGTTTGAATTCTGTGTGTTGAATGCACACATCCCAAAGAAGTTTCTCAGGATGCTTCGGTCTAGTTTTTATGTGAAGATATTACCTTTTCCTCTTTAGGCCGCAAAGTGATCGAAATATCCACTTTCAGATTCCACAAAAAGTGTTTTTAAAAATAGCTAAAATAAAAGAAATGTTCAATTCTGAGATGAATGCACACATCTCAAAAAACTTTCTCAGAATGCTTCTGTGTAGATTTTATATGAAGATATTCCCTTTTCCACTATAGGCCTCAAAACTCTCCTTATGTCCATTTGCAGATACTACATAAAGACTGTTTCCACAGCACAAAGAAGATTCTCAGCATGCTTCTGTCTAGTTTTTATTTGAAGATATTTCCTTTTCCACTGTAGGCCCCAAAGCACTCCAAATATCCAGTTGCAGCTTCTGCAAAAAAAGTGCTTCCAAACTCCTCTATCAAAAGAAACGTTCTACTCTCTGAGATGAAGGCACACATCACAAAGAAGATTCTCAGAATGCTTCTTTCTAGTTTTTATGAGAAGATATTGCCTTTTCCAGTATAGCCTGCAAAGCACTCCAAGTATCCCTTGCAGATTCTACATAAAGAGTGCTTCTAAAGTGCTCAATCAAAAGAAAGGTTCAACTATGTGCGATGAATGCACACATCACAAAGAAGTTTCTCAGAATGCTTCTGTCTAGCTTTTATGTGAAGATGTTTCCTTTTCCACTATAGGCCACAATGCACTCCAAATATCCACATGCAGATTCTACAGAAAGAGTGTTTAAAAACTGCTCAATCAAAAGAAAATTTCAACTCTGTGAGATGAATGCACACATCAAAAAGTAGCTTCTCAGTATGATTGGGTCTAGTTTTTAAGTGAAGATATTTCCTTTTCGGCTATAGTCTGCAAAGCGCTCCAAATATCCACTTGCAGATACTACAAAAAGAGTGTTTCCAAGCTGCTCAATCAAAAGAAACGTTCAACTCTGTGACATAAACACACACATCAGAAAGTAGTTTCTCAGAATGCTTCTGTCTAATTTTCATGTGAAGATATTTCCTTTTCCACTATGGGCCACAAAGCGCTAAAAATATCCACTTGCAGATACCACAAAAAGAGAGTTTCAAACCTCCTCAATCAAAAGAAAAGTTCAACTCTGTGAGATGAATGCACACACCACAAATAAATTTCTGAGAATGCTTCTGTCTAGTTTTTCTGTGAAGAAATTTCCTTTTCCACTAGAGGCCTCAAAGCACTCCAACTATCCACCTGCAGATTCTACAAAAATAGTGTTTTAAAACTCCTCAATCAAAAGAGATGTTCAGCAATGTGAGTTGAATGAACTCATCACAAAGAAGTTTTTCAGAATTCTTCTGCCTAGTTTTTATGTGAAGATATTTCCTTTTCCACTATAGGCCTCAAGGCGCTCCAAATATCCACTCGCAGATACTACAAAAATTCTGTTTCCAAACTGCTGAATAAAAAGAAAGGTTCAACTCTGCGAGTTGAATGCACACATCACAAAGAGGTTTCTCAGAATGCTTTTGTCTAGTCTTAATATGAAGATATATCCTTTTCCAACTTAGGACTCAAAGGGTTCCAAGCACCCACTTGCAGATTCTACAAAAAGAGTATTTCAAAACTGCTGAATCAAAACAAAGGTTCATGTCTGTGAGTTGAAAGCACACGTCACAAATAAGTTTATCAGAATGCTTCTGTCTAATTTTTATGTAAAGATATTTCCTTTTCCACTATAGGCCACAAAGAACACCAAATATCCACTTGCAGATTCTACAAAAAGAGTGTTTCAAAACTGCTCAATCAAAAGAAAGTTTCAACTCTGTGTATTGAATACACATATCTGAAAGCAGTTTCTCGGACTGCTTCTGTCTAGTTTTTATGTGAAGATATTACCTTTTCCACTACAGGCCGCAAAGTGCTCCAAATATCCACTTGCAGATTCTACAAAATCTGTGTTTAAAAATTGCTAAATCAAAAGAAAGATTCAACTCTGAGATGAATGCACACATAACAAAGAAGTTTCTCAGAATGCTTCTGTGTAGTTTTTATGTGAAGATGTTCCCTTTTCCACTATAGGCCTCAAATCGCTCCTAATATCCATTCGCAGATACTACAAAAAGACTGTTACCTCATCACAAAGAAGATTTCCAGCATGCTTCTGTCTAGTTTTTATTTGAAGATATTTCCTTGTCTACTATAGGCCCAAAGCGCTCCAAATATCCACTTGCAGATTCTACAAAAGGAATGTTTCCAAACTGCTCAATCAAAAGAAATGTTCAACTCTGTGAGATGAAGGCACGCATCACAAAATGATACTCAGAATGCTTCAGTCTAGTCTTTATGTGAAGATATTTCCTTTTCCACTATAGGCCACAATGTGCTCCAAATATCCACTTGCAGATTCTACAAAAAGAGTGTTTAAAAACTGCTCTATCAAAAGAAATGTTGAACTCTGTGACATGAACACACATAGAAAGAAGTTTCTCAGAATGCTTCTGTCTAGTTTTTATGTGAAGATATTTCCTTTATCACTACGGGCAGCAAAGCACTCAAATATCCACTTGCATTTACCACAAAAAGAGAGTTTCAAAACTACTCAATCAAAAGAAAAGTTTAATTCTGTGAGATGAATGCAGACATAACAAAGAATTTTCTCAGAATGCTTCTGTCTAGTTTTTATGTGAAGATATTTCCTTTTCCAGGATAGGCCTCAAGCTGCTCCAAATATCCACTTTCAGATACTACAAAAAGACTGTTTCCAAACTGCTCAGTCAGAAGAAAGTTTCAACTCTGTGAGTTGAATGCACGCATCACAAAGAAGTTGATCAGAATGCTTCTCTGTCGTTTTTATGTGAAGATATTTCCCTTTCCACCATAGGCTTCAAAGCGCTCCAAATATCCACTTGCAAATTCTACAAAAAGAGAGTTTCAAAACTGCTCAAGCAAAAGAAAGGTTGAAAACTGTGAGTTGAATACACACATCACAAAGAAGTTTCTCAGAGTGGTTTGTCTCCTTTATATGTGAAGATATTACCTCTTTCACCATAGGTATCAAAGCGCTCCAAATATGCACTTGCACATTCCACAAAAAGAGTGTTTCAAAACTGTTTAATCAAAAGAAAGTTTCAACTCTGTGAGATGAATGCACACATCACAAGGAAGTTTCTCAGAATGCTTCTGTCTAGTTTTTATGTGAAGATATTTTCTTTTCCATATAGTCTTCAAAGCACTGCAAACATCCACTTGCAGATACTACAAAAAGACTCTTTCCAAACTTCTCAATCAAAAGAAAGGTTCAACTCTGTGTGTTGAATACACACATCACCAAGAAGTTTCTCAGAATGTTTCTATCTAGTTTTTATGTGAATATATCTCCTTTTCCACTAGAGGCCACAAAACGCTCCAAATATCCAGTTGCAAATTCTATAAAAAGATTGTTTCAAAACTGCTCAATCAAAAGAAAGTTTCAACTCTGTGAGATGAATGTACACATCACAAAGAAGTTTCTCAGAATGTTTCTGTGTAGTTTTTATATGAAGGAATTTCCTTTTACACCATAGGCCTCAAAGTGCTCAAAATATCCACTTGCAGATTCTACAAAAAGAGTGTGTCAACACTGCTCAATCTAAAGAGAGGTTCAACTCTGTAAGCGGAATGCACACATCACAAAGAAGTTTCTCAGAATGCTTCTGTCTAATTTTTATGTGAAGATATATCCTTTAACAGCACAGGCCCCAATGCGCTCCAAATATCCACTTGCAGATTCCAGCAAAAGAGTTTTTCAAAACTGCTCAATCTAAAGAAAAGTTCAACTCTGTGAGAGGAATGCACACATCAGAACGTAGTTTCTCAGAATGCTTCTGTCTAGTTTTTATGTGAAGATAATTCCTTTTCCACAATAGGCCGCAAAGCGTTCCAAATTTCCACTTACAGATTCTACAAAAAGAGTGTTTCAAAACTGCTCAATCAAAAGAAAGGTTCAACTCTGTGAGAGGAATCCACTAGAGGCTGAAAAGTGCTCCAAATATCCACTTGCAGATTCTACAAAAAGAGTGTATCAAAACTGCTCAATCAAAAGAAAGGTTCAACTCTGTTAATTGAATGCAGACATCACAATGAAGTTTCTCAGAATGCTTCTGTCTAGTTTTTATGTGAAGACATTTCCTTTTCCACCATTGTCCTCAAACCGCTCCAAATATCCACTTGCAGATACTACAGAAAGAGTGTTTTCAAACTGCTTAATCAAAAGAAAGGTACAACTCTGTGAGTTGAATGTACACATCACAAAGAAGTCTCTGAGAATGCTTCTGTGTTGTTTTTTTCTGAAGATATTTCCTTTTCCACGGTAGGCCTCAAAGCACTCCAAATATCCACTTGCATATTCTACAAAAAGAATGTTTCCAAACTGCTCAATCAAAAGAAAGGTTTGTCTCTCTTTTCTTCTTTATTAGTCTTGCTAGCAGTCTATCAATTTTGTTGATCCTTTCAAAAAACCAGATCCTGGATTCATTAATTTTTTGAAGGGGTTTTTTTTTTCTCTATTTCCTTCAGTTCTGCTGTGATTTTAGTTATTTCTTGCCTTCTGCTAGCTTTTAAATGTATTTGCTCTTGCTTTTCTAGTTCTTTTAATTGTGATGTTAGGGTGTCAATTTTGGACCTTTCCTGCTTTCTCTTGTGGGCATTTAGTGCTATAAATTTCTCTCTACACACTGCTTTGAATGTGTCCCAGAGATTCTGGTATGTTGTGTCTTTGTTCTCGTTGGTTTCAAAGAACATCTTTATTTCTGCCTTCATTTCATTATGTACCCAGTAGTCATTCAGGAGCAGGTTGTTCAGTTTCCATGTAGTTGAGCGGTTTTGAGTGAGTTTCTTAATCCTGAGTTCTAGTTTGATTGCACTGTGGTCTGAGAGACAGTTTGTTATAATTTCTGTTCTTTGACATTTGCTGAGGATAGTTTTACTTCCAACTATGTGGTCAGTTTTGGAATAGGTGTGGTGAAATGTATATTCTGTTGATTTGGGGTGAAGAGTTCTGTAGATGTCTATTAAGTCCACTTGGTGCAGAGCTGAGTTCAATTCCTGGGTATCCTTGTTAACTTTCTGTCTCGTTGATCTGTCTAATGTTGACAATGGGGTGTTAAAGTCTCCCATTATTATTGTGGGGCAGTCTAAGTCTCTTTATATGTCACTCAGGACATACTTTATGAATAAGGGTGCTCCTGTATTGGGTGCATATATCTGGAACTAGAAATACCATTTGACCCAGCCATCCTATTACTGGGTATATACCCAAAGGACTATAAATCATGCTGCTATAAAGACACATGCACACATATGTTTATTGTGGCACTATTCACAATAGCAAAGACTTGGAACCAATACAAATGTCCAACAATGATAGACTGGATTAAGAAAATGTGGCACAAATACACCATGGAATACTAGGCAGACATAAAAATGATGACTTCATGTCCTTTGTAGGGACATGGATGAAATTGGAAATCATCATTCTCAGTAAACTATTGCAAGGACAAAAAACCAAACACTGCATGTTCTCTTTCATAGGTGGGAATTGAAAAATGAGAACACATGGACACAGGAAGGGAACATCACACTCTGGGGACTGTTGTGGGGTGTGGGGAGTGGGGAGGGACAGGACTAGGAGGTAGAACTAATGCTAAATGACGAGTTAATTGGTGCAGCACACCAGCATGACACATGTATACATATGTAACTAACCTGCACATTGTACACATGTACCCTAAAAATAAAAGTATAATAATAATAAAATAAAAAACAAAGAAAGGTTCAACTCTATGAGATGAATGCACACATCACAAAGACGTTTCTCAGAATGCTTCTGTCTAGTTTCTATGTGAAGACATTTCTTTTCCAATACTGGCCAAAAAGTGTTCCAAATATCCACTTGCAGAGTCCACAAAAAGAGTGCTTCAAAACTGCTTAATCAAAAGAAAGTTACAACTCTGTGAGTCAAATGTACACATCACAAAGAAGTTTCTCAGAATGCTTCTGTCTTTTTTTTATGTGAAGGTATTACCTTTTACACTAGATGCCAAAAAGTGCTCCAAATATCCACTTGCAGATTCTACAAAAATAATGTTTCAAAACTGCTCAATGAAAAGAAAGTTTCAACTCTGTGAGTTGAATGCACACATCACAATGAAGTTTCACAGAATGCTTCTGTCTAGTTTCTATGTGAAGATATTTCCTTTTCCACGAGAGGACATGAAGCGCTCCAAACATCCACTTGCAGATTCTACAAAAACTGTGTTTCAAAACTTATAAATCAAAAGAATGGTTGAACTCTGTGAGTTGAATGCACACATCACAAAGAAGTTTCTCTGAATGATTCTGTCTAGTTTTTATATCAAGATATTTCCTTTTCCACCGTAGGCCTCAAGCTGCTCCAAATATCCATTTGCAGATCATACAAAAAGACTGTTTCCAAACTGCTCAATCAAAAGAAAGGTTCAACTCTGTGAGATGAATGCACACATCACAAAGAAGTTTCTCAGTATGCTTCTGTCTAGTTTTTATGTGAAGATATTTCCTTTCCACTATGGGCTGCAAAGCGCTCAAAATATCCACTTGCAGGGTACCACAAAAAGAGAATTTCAAAACTGCTCAATCAAAAGAAAAGTTCAATTCTGTGAGATGAATGCAGACATCACAAAGAATTTTCTCAGAATGCTTCTGTCTAGTTTTTATGTGAAGATATTTGCTTTTCCAGCACAGGCCTCAAACCACTCCAATATCCACTTTCAGATACTACAAAAAGACTGTTTCCAAACTGCTTAATCAGAAGAAAGTTTCAACTCTGTGAGTTGAATGGACACATGAGAGAGAAGTTTCTCCGAATGCTTCTCTGTCGTTTTTGTGTGAAGATATTTCCTTTTCCACCATAGGCATCTATGTGCTCCAAATATCCACTTGCAGATTATACAAAAAGAGTGTTTCAAAACTGCTCAATCAAAAGAAAGGTTGAAAACTGTGAGGTGAATACACAAATCACAAAGAATTTTCTCAGAGTGCTTTTGTCTAGTTTTTATGTGAAGATATTTGCTTTTCCAGCACAGGCCTCAAACCGCTCCAATATCCACTTTCAGATACTATAAAAAGACTGTTTCCAAACTGCTCAATCAGAAGAAAGTTTCAACTCTGTGAGATGAATGCACACATCACAAAGAAGTTTCTCAGAATGCTTCTTTCTAGTTTTTATGTGAAGATATTTCCATTTCCACCGTAGGCCTCAAATCGCTCCTAAAATAAATATGCAGATTCTGCAAAAAGAAGGTTTCAAAACTGCTCAATCAAAAGAAAGGTTCAACTATGTGAGATGAATTCAGTAGAGGCTGAAAAGCCCTCCAAATATCCACTTTCAGATTCTACAAAAAGAGTGTTTCCAAACTGCTCAATCAAAGGAAATGTTCAATTCTGTGAGGTGAATGCACACATCACAAAGAAGTTTCTCAGAATGCTTCTGTCTAGTTTTTATGTGAAGATATTTACTTTTGCACTAGATGCTGCAAAGCTCTCCAAATATCCAGTTGCAGATATTCCAAAAAGAGCGTTTCAAAACTGCTCAATCAAAAGAAAGTTTCAACTCTGTGAGATGAATGCACACATCACAAAGAAGTTTCTCACAAAGCTTGTGTCTGGTTTCTATGTGAAGATATTTCATTTTCCACCATAGGTCTCAAAGCGCTCCAGATATCCACTTACAGATTCTACAAAAAGAGTGTTTCAAAACTACTCAATCAAAGGAAAGTTCAAATCTGTGAGGTGAATGCACACATTAGAAAGAATTTCCTCAGAATGCTTCTGTCTAGTTTTTATGTGAAGATGTTTCCTTTCCACTAGAGGACGTGAAGTGCTCCAAACATCCACTTGCAGATTCTACAAAAACTGTGTTTCAAAACCTCTCAATCAAAAGAATGGTTCAATTCTGTGAGTTGAATACACACATCATGAAGAAGTTTCTCAGAATGCTTCTGTCTAGTTTTTAAGTGAAGATATTTCCTTTTCCATTATAATCCACAAAGTACTCCAAATATCCACTTGCAGATTCTTGAAAAAGACTGTTTCCACACTGCTCAATCTAAAGAAAGTTTCAACTCTGTGAAACGAAAGCACACATCACAACGAAGTTTATCAGAAATTTTCTGTCTAGTTTTTATGTGAAGATATTTCCTATTTCCTCTTAGGCCTCATGGGGCTCACAAATATTCCTTGGCAGATACTACAAAAAGTGTGTTTCAAAACTCTGCAATCAAAAGAAAGGTTCAACTTTTTTGGATGAATCCACGCATCACAAAGTAGTTTCTCAGAATGCTTCTGATTATTTTTCTTTGTGAAGATATTTCCTTTTCCACCATAGGCATCAAAGCACTCCAAATATCCACTTGCAGATTCTACAAAAAGAGTGTTTCAAAACTCCTCAATCAAAAGAAAGGTTCAACTTTTTTGGATGAATCCACACATCACAAAGTAGTTTCTCAGAATGCTTCTGTCTAGTTTTTATGTGAAGATATTTCCTTTTCCACCATAGGCCTCAAAGCACTCCAAATATCCACTTGCAGATTCTACAAAAAGAGTGACTCAAAACTGCTCAATCAAAAAAGAGGCTCAACTCTGTGAGTTAAATGCAAACCTCCAAAGAAGTTTATCAGAATGCTTCTGTCTAGTTTTTATGTGAAGATATTTCATTTCCCACCACAGGCCTCAAAGTGCTCTAAATATCTACTTGCAGATCCTACAAAAAGACTCTTTCCTAACTGCTGAATCAAAAGAGACCTTCAACCCTGTGAGTTGAATGCACAGGTCACAAAGAAGTTTCTCAGCATGCTTCTGTCTAGTTTTTATGTGAATATATTTTCCTTTTCAATATAGGCCTGAAAGTACTCCAAATATCGATTTGCAGATTCTACAAAAAGACTGTTTCCAAACTGCTCAATCAAAAGTGAGGTTCAACTCTGTGAGATGAAAGCATACATCATGAAGAAGTTTCTTAGAATGCTTCTGTCTAGTTTTTGTGTGAAGATATTTCCTATTTCACCATAGGCCTTAAAGGGCTCACTAATATCCCTTTGCAGATTCTACAAAAGGACTCTTTCAAAACTGCTCAGTCAAAGGAAAGGCTCAAATCAGTTAGATGAATGCACACAACACAAAGAAGTTTCTCAGAATGCTTCTGTCTAGTTTTAAGTGAAGATATATCCTTTTCCACCACATGCCTCAAAGCACTCCAAATATCCACTTGCAGATTCTGAAAAAGAGTGATTCAAAACTGCTAAAAGGAAAGGTTCAACTCTGTGAGATGAAAGCACACATCACGAAGCAGTTTAACATAATGCTTCTTTCTATGTGAAGATACTTCCTTTTGCACCATAGGCCTAATAGCGCTCCAAATATCCACTTGCAGATTCTACAAAAAGAGTGTTTGTAAACTGCTCAATCAAAAGAAAGATTCAATGCTGTGAGATGAATGCACACATCACAAAGAAGTTTCTCAGAATGCTTCTGATTATTTTTCTTTGTGAAGATATTTCCTTTTTCATGATAGGCCTCAAAGCACTCCAAATATCCATTTGTAGATATTACAAAAAGACTGTTTGCAAACTGCTCAATCAAAAGAAAGTTTCAACTCTGTGAGATGAATAAACACATCACAAATAAGTTTCTCAGAAAGCTTCTGTCTAGTTTTTATGTGAGTATATTTCCCATTACCCCATAGGCCTCAATAGGTACACAAATATCACTTTGCAGATTCTACAAAACAACTGTTTCCATACTGTGCAATCAAAAGTAATGTTCAACTCTGTGAGATGTATGAACACATCTCAGAGTACTTTCTCATAATTCTTCTGTCTTGCTTTTATGAGAAGATATTTCGTTTTCCACCATAGGCCTCAAAGTGCTCCAAATATCCACTTGCAGATTCCACAAAATAGTTTTTCAAAACTGCTCAATCAAAAGAAAGGTTCAACTCAGTGAGATGAATGCACACATCACAACGAAGTTTCTCAGAATGCTTCTGTCTAGTTTTTATGTGAAGATATTTCCTTTTCCACTATGGACCACAAAGAGCTCCAAAATATCCATTTGCAGATACTACAGAACGACTGTTTCCAAACTGATCACTCAAAAGGGAGGTTCAAATCTCAGAGATAAATGCACACATCACAAAAAAGTTTCTCAGAATGTTTCTGTCTGTTTTTTATGTGAAGTTGTTTCTTTTTCAACACAGACTTCAAAGCACCCCAAATATCCCTTTGCAGATTGTACAAAAAGACTGCTTCCACACTGCTCAATCAAAAGAAAGGTTCAACTCTGTGTGATGAAAGCACACATCACAAAGAAGTTTCTCACAAAGTTTCTGTCTAGTCTTTATGTGAATATATTTCCTATTTCCCCATAGGCCTCAATGGGATCACAAATATCTCTTTTCAGATTCAACAAAAAGAGTGTTTCAAATCTCCTCAATTAAAACAAAGGGTGAACACTGTGAGATGAATGCACACTTCACAAAGTAGTTTCTCAGAATGCTTCTGTGTAGTTTTTATGTGAATATATTTCTTATTCCATGAAAGACCTCAAAGCGCTCCAAATTTCCATTTGCAGATACTACAAGAAGATTGTTTCCAAACTACTCAATCAAAAGAAAGTTCAACTCTGTTAGATGAATGCACACATCACAAAGAAGTTTCTCAGAATGCTTCTGTGTAGTTTTTATGTGAGGATATTTCCTTTTCCACAATAGGCATCAGAGTGCTCCAAGTATCCACTTGCAGATTCTACAAAAAGATTGTTTCAAAACTACTCAATAAAAAGAAAGATTCAACTCTCTGAGATGAATGGATCCATCACAAAGAAGTTTCTCATAATGCTTCTGTCTAGATTTATGTGAAGATATTTCTTTTTCCACTATAGGCCTCAAAGCGCCCCAAATATCCATTTGTAGATACTACAAATGGACTGTTTCCAAACTGTTCAATCAAAAGAAAGGTTCAACTCTGTGACCTGAATGCACATATCACAAAGATGTTTCTTAGAATACTTCTGTCTAGTTTTTATATGACGATAGTTTTTTTTTCACCGTAGGCCTCAAAGCGCTCCAGATATCCATTTGCAGATAATACAAAAAGACTTTTTCCAAACTGCTCAATCAAAGGAAAGGTTCAACTCTGTTAGATGAACACACACATCCAAAAAAGTTTCTCAGATTGCTACTGTCTAGTTTTTATGTGAAGATAATTCTTTTTCCACTGCAGTCCTCAAAACGCTTCAAATATCCACTTGCAAATTCTACAAAAAGAGTGTTTGCACACTGCTGAATCAAAGAAATGTTCAACTCTGTGAGATGAATGCACACATCACAAAGACGTTTCTCAGAATGCTTCTGTCTGGTTTTTAATTGAAGATATTTCCTTTTCAACCATAGGCCTCAAAGTGCTGCAAATATCCACTAGCAGATTCTACAAAAAGAGTGTTTCAAAACGGCTCTATCAACAGAAAGTTTCAACTCTGTGAGATGAAAGAACACATCACAAAGCAGTTTCTCATAATGCTTCTGTCTGTTTTTTTTTGTGAAGATATTTCCTTTTCTACCATAGGCCTCAATGCACTCCAAATATTCGTTTGCCAATACTACAAAAAGTCTCTTTCCACACTGCTCAAACATAAGAAATCTTCAGCTCTGTGAGTTGAATGCACACATCACAAAAAAGTTTCTCAGAATGCGTCTGCCTAGTTTTTATGGGAAGATATTTGCATTTTTACCTTAGGCCTCAAAGTGCTCCAAATATCCCTTTGCAGATTCTAAAAAACCATGGTGTCCAAACTGCTCAATCAAAGGAAGTTTCAACTCTGTGAGATAAAACCACACATCACAAAGTAATTTCACAAAAAGTTTCTGTCTAGTTTTCATGTGAAGATATTTCCTGTTTCCCCAGAGCCCTCAATGCACTCACAAGTAGCCCTTTGCAGATTCTACAAAACGAGTGTTTCCAAACTGCTCAATCAAAAGAAATATTCACCACAGTGAGATGAATGCACACATCACAAAGGAGTTTCTCAAAATGCTTCTTTCTAGTTTTTGTGTGAAAGTATTTACTTTTCCACCATAGGCCTCAAAGCACTCCATGTATCCACTTGCAGATTCTACAAAAAGATTGTTTCAAAACTACTCAATAAAAAGAAAGATTCAACTCTCTGACATGAATGGATCCATCACAAAGAAGTTTATCATAATGCTTCTGTCTAGATTTATGTAAAGATATTTCTTTTTCCACTATAGGCCTCAAAGCACTCCAAATATCCATCTGCAGATACTACAAATGGACTGTTTCCAAACTGCTCAATCAAAATAAAGGTTCAACTCTGTGAGCTGAATGCACACCTCACAAACCAGTTTCTCAGAATGTTTCTGTCTAGTTTTTATTTGAAGTTATTTCCTTTTCCACCACAGGTTGCAAAGCACTCCAAATATCCACTTGCAGATTCTACAAAATGGGTGTTTCCAAATTTCCCAATCAAAGGAAATGTTAAACTCTTTGAGAGGAAAGCACACATCACAAAGAAGTTTCTCAAAATGCTGCTTTCTAGTTTTTATGTGAAGATATTTCCTTTTCCACTATAGGCCTCAAAGCGTTTCAGATATCCACTTGCAGATTCTACAAAAAGAGTGTTTCAAGACTGCTTAATCAAAAGAAAAGTTCAACTCTGTGATATGAATGTACATATCACAAAGAAGTTTCTCAGAATGCTTCTGTCTAGTTTTTTAGTGAAGATATTTCCTTTTCCACTATAGGCCCCAAAGCGCTCCAAATATCCACTTGCAGATTCTACAGAAAGACTGTTTCAAAACTGCTCAATCAAAAGAAAGATTCAACTTTGTGAGATGACTGCAAACATCACAAAGATGTTTCTCAGAATGCTTCTGTCCAGTTTTTATGTGAAGATATTTCCTTTTCCACTATAGGCCACAAAGTGCTCCATTTATCCATCCGTAGATTCTGCAAAAAGAGTGTTTCCAAACTGCTCAATCAAAAGAAATTTTCATCTCTTTGAGATGAATGCACACATCACAAAGAAGTTTCTCAGAATGCTTCTGTCTACTTTTTGTGTGAAGGTATTTCCTTTTCCATCATAGGCCAAAAAGGGCTCCAAATATGGAGTTCCAGATTCTACAAAAAGATTATTTAAAAACTGCTCAATTAAAGAAAAGGTTCAACTCTGTGAGCTGAATGCACACATCACAAAGAACTTTCTCAGAATGCTTCTGTCTAGTTTTTATGTGAAGATATTTCCTTTTCCACCTTAGGCCTCAAAGTGCCCCAAATATCCACTTGTACATAGTACAAAAAGAGTGTTTAAAAACTGCTCAGCCAAAAGAAAAGTTCAACTCTGTGTGTTGAATGCACACATCACAAAGACGTTTCTTAGCATGCTTTTTTCTAGTTTTTATGGGTAGATATTTCCTCTTGTGTCATAAGCCTCAAACCGCTCAAAATATACATTTGCAGATACAACAAAAAGGCAGTTTCCAAACCACTTAATCAAAAGAAAGGTTCAACTCCGTCGGTTTAATGCACACATCACAAAGAAGTTTCTCAGAATGCTTCTGTGTAGTTTTTATTTGAAGATGTTTCCTTTTCCACCACAGGCCTCAAAGCGCTCCAAATATCGACTTGCAAATTTTACAAAAACAGTGGTTTAAAGCTGCTCAATTAAAGAAAGTTTCAAGTATGTGAGATGAATGCACACGTCACAAAGAAGTTTCTCAGAATATCTGCCTAGTTTGTATGTGAAGATATTTCCTTTTCCAGTAGAAGCCTCAAATTGCTCCAAATATCCCCTTGCAGATTCTACAAAAAGTGTGTTTTAAAACCGCTCAATCAAAAGAAAAGTTCAACTCTTTGAGATGAATGTGCACATCACAAATAAGTTGCTCAGAATGCTTCTGTCTGGTTTTTATGTGAAGATATTTCCTTTTCCACTAGAGATGGCAAAGCGCTCCAAATATCCACTTGCAGATCCTAAAATAAGAGTGTTTCAAAACTGTCCAATGAAAAGAAAGGATCAAATCTGTGAGATGCATGCACACATCACAAAGAAATTTCTCAGAATGCTTCTGTCTAGTTTTTATGTGAAGATATTTCCTTTTCCTCTATAGGCTGCAAAAGTTCCAAATATCCACTTGCAGATTCTACAAAAAGAGTGTTTCAAAACTTGTCCATCATTAGAAAGGAACAACTCTGTGAGTCCAATGCACCCATCATAAAGAAGTTTCTCAGACTGCTTTTGTCTAGTTTTTATGTGAAGATATTTCCTTTTCCACCATACTCCTCAAACTGCTCCAAATATCCATTTGCTGACACTACAAAAGGACTGTTTCCAAACTGCTCAATCAAAATAAAGGTTCAAATCTTTGAGGTGAATGCACACATCACAAAGAAGTTTCTCAGAATGCTTCTATGTAGTTTTATGTGAAGATATTCCTTTTCCAGTAGAGGCCGAAAAGTGATCCAGGTATCCACTTGCAGATTCTACAAAAAGAGTGTTTCAAAACTGCTCAGTGAGTGAGAAGAAAGTTTCAGCTCCATGAGATGAATGCACACATCACAAAGAAGTTCCTCAGAATGCTTCTGTCTGGTTTTTATTTGAAGCTATTTCCTTTTCCACCATAGACCTCAAAGCGCTCAAAATATCCACTTGCAGTTTCTACAGAAAGAGTGTTTCAAAATTGCTCAATCAAAAGAAACATTCAGCTCTGTGAGATGAATGCAGGAAACACAATGGAGTTGCTCACAATGCTTCTGTCATGTTTTTATGTGAATATATTTCCTTTTTCACCATAGGCATCAAAGCACTCCAAATATCTATTTGTAGATTCTATAAAAAGACAGTTTCCAAACTGCTCCCTCAAAAGAAATGTTAAACTCTGTGAGATGAATGCACACATCATAAAGAAGTTTCTCAGAATGCTTCTATCTAGTTTTTATGTGAAGATACTTCCTATTTCACAATAGGGCATAAACAACTCACAAATATCTCTTTGCAGATTCTATGAAAAGACTGTTTCTAAACTTCTCAATGAAAAGAAAGGTTCAACTCTGTAAGATGAAATACACATCACAATGAAGTTTCTCAGATTGCTTCATTCTAGTTTTTATGTCAAGATACTTCTTTTTCACCATAGGCCTCAAGCGACTCAGAAATATCCCTTTGCTGATTTTACAAAAAGACTGTTTCCAAACTGCTCAACCAAAAGAAAATCTCAACTCTGTGAGAGGAATGTAGGCATCATAAAGAAGTTTCTCAGATTGCTTCCGTCTAGTTTATATATGAAGATATTTCCTTTTTCATCATAGTCCTCAAGGCACTCCAAATAACTATTTGCAAAGTCTACAAAAAGACCGTTTCCAAAATGCTCAATCAAAAGAAACGTTCAACTCTGTCAGATGAAAGCATATCTCACAAAGTAGTTTCTCAGGAATGTTCTGTGCAGTTTTTATGAGAAGATATTTCCTATTTCTCCATAGGTCAAAATGGGCTCACAAATATCCCTGTGGAGATTCTACGAAAAGACTGTTTCCAAACTGGTCAATCAAAAGAAACGTTCTGCACTGTCAGATGAATGCAAACATCACAAAGAAGTTTCTCTGAATCCTTCTTTCTAGTTTTTATGTGTACATATTTCTTTTTCCTCATAGGCCTCAAACGGCTACAAAATATCCATTTACAGATTGTAGAAAAAGACTGTTTCCAAACTGCTCAATCAAAAGACAGTTTCAACTCTGGGAGATGAATGCACACATCCCAAAGAGATATCTCAGAATGCTTCTGTCTTTTTTTTTATGTGAAGATATCTCCTTTTTCACCATAGGCCTCAAAGTGCTCTAAATATCGATTTGCAGATTCAACAAAAAGAGCGTATCAAACTTGCTCAATCAAAAGAAAGTTTCAACTTGGTGGGATGAATGCACACATAACAAAGAAGTTTCACGGAATGCTTGTGCCTAGTTTTTATGTGAAGATACTTCCATTTTCACCATAGGCTTCAAAGCACTCCAAATATAAATTTGCAGATTCTACAAAAACACTGTTTCCAAACTGCTCAATACAAAGAATGGCTCAACTCAGTCAGATGAATGAACACATGGCAACGTAGTTCTTGAGAATGCTTCTGTCGAGTTTTTAGTTGAAGATATTTCTTTTTTCAACACGGGCCTCAAAGCGATCCGAATATACATTTGCAGATTCTACAAAAAAGACTGTTTCCAATCTGCTAAATCAAAAGAAATATTCAAATCCGTGAGATGAAAGCCCACATCAAAAAGAATTTTCTCAGAATGCTTCTGTCTAGTTTTTATGTGAAGATATTTCCTATTGAACCATAGGCCATAAAGGGCTCATAAATATCCCTGTGTAGATTCTATGAAAAGACTGTTTCCAAACTGCTCAATCAAAAGAAAGGTTCAACTCTGTTAGATGAATGCACAAATCACAACGAAGTTTCTCTGAATGCTTCTCTCTAATTTTTATGTGAAGATATTTCTTTTTCACCATAGGTCTCAAACGGCTCGGAAATATCCCTTTGCAAATTGTACAAAAGGACTGTTTCCAAACTGCTCAGTCAAAAGAAAGGTTCAATTCTGTGAGATGAATGCAGGCATCACAAAGAAGTTTCTCAAAATGCTGCTGTCTAGTTTTTATGTGAAGATATTTCCTTTTTCACCATAAGCCTTAAACCAGTCACAAATATCCCTCTGCAGACACTACAAAAAGACTGTTTCCAAACTGTTCCATCAAAAGTGAGGTTCAACTCTGTGAGATGAATGCACACATTACAAAGAAGTTTCTCAAAATGCTTCTGTCAAGTTTTTTTGTGAAGATATTTCCTTTTTCAACACAGGCCTCAAAGCGCTCCTAGTATACATTTGCAGACACTACAAAAAGAGTGTTTCCAAACTGCTCAATCAAAAGAAAAGTTCAACTGCATGAAATGAAAGCCCACATCACAAAGCAGTTTCTCAGAATGCTTCTGCCAAGTTTTTATGTGAAGACATTTCATTTTTCACCGTAGACCTCAAAGCACTCCAAACATCCATTTGCAGATTTTACAAAAAGAGTGTTTCCAACCTGCTCAATCAAAAGAAAACTTCAACTGTGAGTTGAATGCACACATCCCAAAGATGTTTCTCAGTGTGCTTCTGTCTATTTTTTATGTGATGATATTTCCTTTTTCACCATAGGCCTTAAACCGGTCAGAAATATCCCTCTGCAGATACTACAACAAGACTGTTTCCAAACTGCTGCATCAAAAGAAATGTTTCTACTTTGTGAGATGAATGCAAACATTGCATAGAAGTTTGTAAGAATGTTTCTCTCTATTTTTTATGTGAAGATATTTCTTTTCCACCATAGGCCTCAAACGGCTCAGAAATATCCCTTTGCACATTGTACAAAAGGACTGTTTTCAAACTGCTCAATCAAAAGAAAGGTTCAACACTGTGAGATGAATGCACCATCACAAAGAAGTTTCTCCGAATGTTTCCATCTCGTTTTTTTGTGAAGATATTTCCTTTTATACCATAGGCTTCAAAGCGCTCCAAATATCCATTTGCAGATTCCACAAAAAGAGTGTTTCCGACCAGCTGAATCAAAAGAAATGTTCAACTCTGTGAGATGATAGCATATATCACAAAAAGTTTCTCAGAAATCTTCCTTCTAGTTTTTATGCGAAGATATTTCTTTTTCACCATGGGCCTCAAACAGTTCTGAAACAATCCTTTGCACATTGTACAAAAAGACTGTTTCCAAACTTCTCAGTCAAAAGAAAGTTTCAACTCTGTGATATGAATGCACACATCAAAAAGAAGTTTCTCAGAATGCTTCCGTCTAGTTTTTATGTGAAGATATTTGCTTTTTCACCATAGGCTTCAAAGCGCTCCAAATATCTATTTGCAGATTCCACAAAAAGAAGGTTTCCAGCCAGCTCAATCAAAAGAAATGTTCAACTCGGTGAGATGATAGCATATATCACAAAAAGTTTTTCAGAAATATTCTGTCCAGTTTTTATATGAAGATATTTCCTATTTCACCATTGGCCATAAAGGGCTCACAAATATCCCGTGCACATTCTATGATAAGACTGTTTCCAAACTGCTCATTGAAAAGAAAGCTTCAACAATGTGAGATGAATGCACACATCACAAAAAAGTTTCTCAGAATGCTTCTGTCTAGTTTTTATGTGAAGATATTTCCTTTTTCAGCATAGGCCTTAAACATGTCACAAATATCCATCTCCAGATACTACAAAAAGACTGTTTCCAAACTTCTCCATGAAAAGAAAGGTTCAGCTCTAGGAGCCAAGATGGCCGAATAGGAACAGTTCCGGTCTACAGCTCCCAGCGTGAGCGACGCAGAAGACGGGTGACTTCTGCATTTCCATCTGAGGTACCGGGTTCATCTCACTAGGGAGTGCCAGACAGTGAGCGCAGGCCAGTGTGTGTGTGCACCGTGGGCGAGCCGAAGCAGGGCGAGGCATTGCCTCACCTGGGAAGCGCAAGGGGTCAGGGAGTTCCCTTTCCGAGTCAAAGAAAGGGGTGACAGACGCACCTGGAAAATCGGGTCACTCCCACCCGAATATTGCGCTTTTCAGACCGCCTTAAGAAACGGCACACCACGAGACTATATCCCACACCTGGCTCAGAGGGTCCTACGCCCACGGAATCTCGCTGATTGCTAGCACAGCAGTCTGAGATCAAACTGCAAGGCGGCAACGAGGCTGGGGGAGGGGCGCCCGCCATTGCCCAGGCTTGCTTAGGTAAACAAAGCAGCCAGGAAGCTCGAACTGGGTGGAGCCCACCACAGCTCAAGGAGGCCTGCCTGCCTCTGTAGGCTCCACCTCTGGGGGCAGGGCACAGACAAACAAAAAGACAGCAGTAACCTCTGCAGACTTAAGTGTCCCTGTCTGACAGCTTTGAAGAGAGCAGTGGTTCTCCCAGCACGCAGCTGGAGATCTGAGAACGGGCAGACTGCCTCCTCAAGTGGGTCCCTGACCCCTGACCCCCGAGCAGCCTAACTGGGAGGCACCCCTCAGCAGGGGCACACTGACACCTCACACGGCACGGTATTCCAACAGACCTGCAGCTGAGGGTCCTGTCTGTTAGAAGGAAAACTAACAACCAGAAAGGACATCTACACCGAAAACCCATCTGTACATCACCATCATCAAAGACCAAAAGTAGATAAAACCACAAAGATGGGGAAAAAACAGAACAGAAAACCTGGAAACTCTAAAACGCAGAGCACCTCTCCTCCTCCAAAGGAACGCAGTTCCTCACCAGCAACAGAACAAAGCTGGATGAAGAATGATTTTGATGAGCTGAGAGAAGAAGGCTTCAGATGATCAAATTACTCTGAGCTACGGGAGGACATTCAAACCAAAGGCAAAGAAATTGAAAACTTTGAAAAAAATTTAGAAGAATGTATAACTAGAATAACCAATACAGAGAAGTGCTTAAAGGAGCTGATGGAGCTGAAAACCAAGGCTCGAGAACTACGTGAACAATGCAGAAGCCTCAGGAGCCGATGCGATCAACTGGAAGAAAGGGTATCAGCAATGGAAGAAGAAATGAATGAAATGAAGCGAGAAGGGAAGTTTAGAGAAAAAAGAATAAAAAGAAATGAGCAAAGCCTCCAAGAAATATGGGACTATGTGAAAAGACCAAATCTACGTCTGATTGGTGAACCTGAAAGTGATGTGGAGAATGGAACCAAGTTGGAAAACACTCTGCAGGATATTATCCAGGAGAACTTCCCCAATCTAGCAAGGCAGGCCAATGTTCACATTCAGGAAATACAGAGAACGCCACAAAGATACTCCTCGAGAAGAGCAACTCCAAGACACATAATTGTCAGATTCACCAAAGTAGAAATGAAGGAAAAAATGTTAAGGGCAACCAGAGAGAAAGGTCGGGTTACCCTCAAAGGAAAGCCCATCAGACTAACAGCGGATCTCTCGGCAGAAACCCTACAAGCCAGAAGAGAGTGGGGGCCAATATTCAACATTCTTAAAGAAAAGAATTTTCAACCCAGAATTTCATATCCAGCCAAACTAAGCTTCATAAATGAAGGAGAAATAAAATACTTTATAGACAAGCAAATGCTGAGAGATTTTGTAACCACCAGGCCTGACCTAAAAGAGCTCCTGAAGGAAGCGCTAAACATGGAAAGGAACAACTGGTACCAGCCACTGCAAAATCATGCCAAAATGTAAAGACCATCGAGACTAGGAAGAAACTGCATCAACTAATGAGCAAAATCACCAGCTAACATCATAATGACAGGATCAAATTCACACATAACAATATTAACTTTAAATATAAATGGACTAAATTCTGCAATTAAAAGACACAGACTAGCAAGTTGGATAAAGAGTCAAGACCCATCAGTGTGCTGTATTCAGGAAACCCATCTCACGTGCAGAGACACACATAGGCTCAAAATAAAAGGATGGAGGAAGATCTACCAAGCCAATGGAAAACAAAAAAAGGCAGGGGTTGCAATCCTAGTCTCTGATAAAACAGACTTTAAACCAACAAAGATCAAAAGAGACAAAGAAGGCCATTACATAATGGTAAAGGGATCAATTCAACAAGAGGAGCTAACTATCCTAAATATTTATGCACCCAATACAGGAGCACCCAGATTCATAAAGCAAGTCCTCAGTGACCTACAAAGAGACTTAGACTCCCACACATTAATAATGGGAGACTTTAACACCCCACTGTCAACATTAGACAGATCAACGAGACAGAAAGTCAACAAGGATACCCAGGAATTGAACTCAGCTCTGCACCAAGCAGACCTAATAGACATCTACAGAACTCTCCACCCCAAATCAACAGAATATACATTTTTTTCAGCACCACACCACACCTATTCCAAAATTGACCACATAGTGGGAAGTAAAGCTCTCCTCAGCAAATGTAAAAGAACAGAAATTATAACAAACTATCTCTCAGACCACAGTGCAATCAAACTAGAACTCAGGATTAAGAATCTCACTCAAAGCCACTCAACTACATGGAAACTGAACAACCTGCTCCTGAATGACTACTGGGTACATAACGAAATGAAGGCAGAAATAAAGATGTTCTTTGAAACCAACGGGAACAATGACACCACATACCAGAATCTCTGGGACGCATTCAAAGCAGTGTGTAGAGGGAAATTTATAGCACTAAATGCCCACAAGAGAAAGCAGGAAAGATCCAAAATTGACACCCTAACATCACAATTAAAAGAACTAGAAAAGCAAGAGCAAACACATTCAAAAGCTAGCAGAAGGCAAGAAATAACTAAAATCAGAGCAGAACTGAAGGAAATAGAGACACAAAAAACCCTTCAAAAAATCAATGAATCCAGGAGCTGGTTTTTTGAAAGTATCAACAAAATTGATAGACCGCTAGCAAGACTAATAAAGAAAAAAAGAAAGAAGAATCAAATAGACGCAATAAAAAATGATAAAGGGGATATCACCACCGATCCCACAGAAATACAAAGTACCATCACAGAATACTACAAACACCTCTACGCAAATAAACTAGAAAATCTAGAAGAAATGGATACATTCCTCGACACATACACTCTCCCAAGACTAAACCAGGAAGAAGTTGAATCTCTGAATAGACCAATAACAGGATCTGAAATTGTGGCAATAATCAATAGTTTACCAACCAAAAAGAGTCCAGGACCAGATGGATTCACAGCCGAATTCTACCAGAGGTACAAGGAGGAACTGGTACCATTCCTTCTGAAACTATTCCAATCAATAGAAAAAGAGGGAAACCTCCCTAACTCATTTTATGAGGCCAGCATCATTCTGATACCAAAGCCGGGCAGAGACACAACCAAAAAAGAGAATTTTAGACCAATATCCTTGATGAACATTGATGCAAAAATCCTCAATAAAATACTGGCAAACCGAATCCAGCAGCACATCAAAAAGCTTATCCACCATGATCAAGTGGGCTTCATCCCTGGGATGCAAGGCTGGTTCAATATATGCAAATCAATAAATGTAATCCAGCATATAAACAGAGCCAAAGACAAAAACCACATGATTATCTCAATAGATGCAGAAAAAGCCTTTGACAAAATTCAACAACCCTTCATGCTAAAAACTCTCAATAAATTAGGTATTGATGGGACGTATTTCAAAATAATAAGAGCTATCTATGACAAACCCACAGCCAATATCATACTGAATGGGCAAAAACTGGAAGCATTCCCTTTGAAAACCGGCACAAGACAGGGATGCCCTCTCTCACCGCTCCTATTCAACATAGTGTTGGAAGTTCTGGCCAGGGCAATCAGGCAGGAGAAGGAAATAAAGGGTATTCAATTAGGAAAAGAGGAAGTCAAATTGTCCCTGTTTGCAGACGACATGATTGTTTATCTAGAAAACCCCATCGTCTCAGCCCAAAATCTCCTTAAGCTGATAAGCAACTTCAGCAAAGTCTCAGGATACAAAATCAATGTACAAAAATCACAAGCATTCTTATACACCAACAACAGACAAACAGAGAGCCAAATCATGAGTGAACTCCCATTCACAATTGTTTCAAAGAGAATAAAATACCTAGGAATCCAACTTACAAGGGATGTGAAGGACCTCTTCAAGGAGAACTACAAACCACTGCTCAAGGAAATAAAAGAGGGCACGAACAAATGGAAGAACATTCCATGCTCATGGGTAGGAAGAATCAATATCGTGAAAATGGCCATACTGCCCAAGGTAATTTACAGATTCAATGCCATCCCCATCAAGCTACCAATGACTTTCTTCACAGAATTGGAAAAAACTACTTTAAAGTTCATATGGAACCAAAAAAGAGCCCGCATCGCCAAGTCAATCCTAAGCCAAAAGAACAAAGCTGGAGGCATCACACTACCTGACTTCAAACTGTACTACAAGGCTACAATAACCAAAACAGCATGGTACTGGTACCAAAACAGAGATATAGATCAATGGAACAGAACAGAGCCCTCAGAAATAATGCCACATATCTACAACTATCTGATCTTTGACAAACCTGAGAAAAACAAGCAATGGGGAAAGGAATCCCTATTTAATAAATGGTGCTGGGAAAACTGGCTAGCCATATGTAGAAAGCTGAAACTGGATCCCTTCCTTACACCTTATACAAAAATCAATTCAAGATGGATTAAAGATTTAAACGTTAAACCTAAAACCATAAAAACCCTAGAAGAAAACCTAGGCATTACCATTCAGGACATAGGCGTGGGCAAGGACTTCATGTCTAAAACACCAAAAGCAATGGCAACAAAAGACAAAATTGACAAATGGGATCTAATTAAACTAAAGAGCTTCTGCACAGCAAAAGAAACTACCATCAGAGTGAACAGGCAATCTACAACATGGGAGAAAATTTTCGCAACCTACTCATCTGACAAAGGGCTAATATCCAGAATCTACAATGAACTCCAACAAATTTACAAGAAAAAAACAAACAACCCCATCAAAAAGTGGGCGAAGGACATGAACAGACACTTCTCAAAAGAAGACATTTATGCAGCCAAAAAACACATGAAAAAATGCTCATCATCACTGGCCATCAGAGAAATGCAAATCAAAACCACTATGAGATATCATCTCACACCAGTTAGAATGGCAATCATTAAAAAGTCAGGAAACAACAGGTGCTGGAGAGGATGCGGAGAAATAGGAACACTTTGACACTGTTGGTGGGACTGTAAACTAGTTCAACCATTGTGGAAATCAGTGTGGCGATTCCTCAGGGATCTAGAACTAGAAATACCATTTGACCCAGCCATCCCATTACTGGGTATATACCCAAATGAGTATAAATCATGCTGCTATAAAGACACATGCATACGTATGTTTATTGCGGCACTATTCACAATAGCAAAGACTTGGAACCAACTCAAATGTCCAACAATGATAGACTGGATTAAGAAAATGTGGCATATATACACCATGGAATACTATGCAGCCATAAAAAATGATGAGTTCATATCCTTTGTAGGGACATGGATGAAATTGGAAACCATCATTCTCAGTAAACTATCGCAAGAACAAAAAACCAAACACCGCATATTCTCACTCATAGGTGGGAATTGAACAATGAGATCACAAGGACACAGGAAGGGGAATATCACACTCTGGGGACTGTGGTGGGGTCGGGGGAGGGGGGAGGGATAGCATTGGGAGATATACCTAATGCTAGATGACACATTAGTGGGTGCAGCGCACCAGCATGGCACATGTATACATATGTAACTAACCTGCACAATGTGCACATGTACCCTAAAACTTAGAGTATAATAAAAAAAAAAAAAAAAAGATATTTGAAAGGCACAAAAAAAAAAAAAAGAAAAGAAAGGTTCAACTCTGTGAAATGAATGCACACATTACAAAGAATTTTCTCAGAATGCTTCTGTGTAGTTTCTATATGTAGATATTTCCTTTTTCACCATAGACCTCAAAGCACTCCAAGTATACATTTGCAGATTCTACAAAAAGACTGTTTCCAAACTGCTCAATCAAAAGAAATGTTCAACTCTGTGAGATGAAAGCACACACCACAAAGAATTTCCTTCGAATGCTTCTGTCTAGTTTTTATGTGAAGATATTTCCTTTTTCACCATAGACCTCAAAGCACTCCAAATATCGATTTGCAGATTCTGCAAAAAGAGTGTTTCCAAACTACTCAATCAAAAGAAAGGTTCAGCTGCATTAAATGAAAACACACATCACAAAGAAGTTTCTCAGAATGCTTCTGTCTAGTTTTTATGTGTAGATATTTCCTTTTTTACCGTAGGGGTCTTAAACCAATCAGAAATATCCCTCTACAGATACTACAAAAAACTGTTTCCAAAGTGCACCATAAAAAGAAATGTTCAACTCTGTGAGATAAATGCACATATTACAAAGAAGTTTCTCAGTATGGTTCTGTCTAGTATTTATGTGAAGATATTACTTTTTTCTCTATAGAACTCAAAACGCTCCAAATATCAATTTGCAGATTCTGCAAACAGACCGTTTCCAAACTGCTCAATGAAAACAAATGTTCAAATCTGTGAGATGAAGGCATACGTCACAAAGAAGTTTCTCAAAAAAGTTCTGTCATGTTTTTATGTTATTTCCTATTTCACCATAGGCCATAAAGAGCTCACAAATATCCCTCTGCAGATTCTATGAAAAGACTTTTTCCAAACTGCTCAATCAAAAGAAAATTTCATCTCTGGTAGACGAATGCACACATCACAAAGAAGTTGCTCAGAATGCTTCTGTCTAGTTGTTATGTGAAGATATTTCTTTTTCACCATAGGCCTCAAATGGCTCGGAAATATCCCTTTGGAGATTGTAGAAAAAGATTGTTTCCAAACTGCTCACTGAAAAGAAAGGTTCAACTCTGTGAAATGAATAAAGGCATTACAAACAAGTTTGTCAGAATGCTTCAGTCTGATTTTTGTGTGAATATATTTCCTTTTGCAACATGGACCCCAAAGCTCTCCAAGTATCCATTTACAGATACTACAAAAAGACTGTTTCCAAACTTCTCAATAAAAAGAAATGTTCAACTCTGTGAGATGAATGCACACATCACAAGGAAGTTTCTCAGAATGCTTCTGTCTACTTTTTATTTGAAGATATTCCCTTTGTCCCCATATGCCACAAAGAGCTCCAAATATCCATTTGCAGATTCAACAAAAAGACTGTTTCCAAACTGCTCAATCAAAAGAAAGTTTCTACTCTGTGTGATGAAAGCATACATCACAAAGAAGTTTCTCTGAAAGTTTCTATGTAGTTTTTAGGTGAAGTTATTTCCTATTTCCCCATGGGCCTCAAAGGGCTCACAAATGTCCCTTTGCCAATTCTACAAAAATAATGTTTCCAAACTGCTCAATCAAAAGTAATGTTCAAATCTTGAGATTAATGCTCATATCATGAAGAAGTTTCCCAGAATGCTTCTGTGTAGTTTTTCTGTGAAGATATTTTCATTTAGACCATAGGCCTCAAAGCCCTCCAAATATCTGTTTGCAGATTATAGAAAAAGAGTTTTTCCAAAAGGCTCAATCAAAAGAAAGTTTCAATTCTGCGAGATGAACGCACACATCACAAAGAGGTTTCTCAGAATGGTTCTGTCTAGTTTTTATGTGAATGCATTTCCTTTTTTAGCATAGGCCCTAAACCGGTCACAAATTTCGCTCTTCAGATAGTACAAAAAGACTGTTTACAAAGTGCTTAAGCAAAAGAAAGTTTCAACTCTGTGAGATGAATGCACACATCACAAAGTAGTTTATCAGAATGCTTCTGTCTACTTTTCGTGTGAAGATATTTCCTTTTTAACCATAGGCCTCGGAGTGCTCCAAATATCCATTTGCAGATTCTACAAAAAGACTATTTTGAAAATGCTCAATCAAAAGAAAGGTTCAATTCTGTGAGATGAAAGCATACATCACAAAGAAGTTTCTCAGAAAGCTTCTGTCTAGTTTTTATGTGAAGATATTTCCTGTTTCACCATAGTCCATCAAGGGCTCAAAAATAACACTGTGCAGATTCTACGAAAGGACTGTTTCCAAACTGCTCAATCAAAAGATAGGTTCAACTCTGTGAGATGAATGCACACTTCACAAAGAAGTTTATCAGAATGCTTCTGTCTAGTTTTTATGTGACGATATTTATTTTTCAGCATAGGCATCAAATGGCTTGGAAATATCATATTGCAGATTTTACAAAAAGACTATTTCCAAATGAATCAATGAAAAGTAAAGTTCAACACAGTGAGGTGAATGCAGTCATTACAAAGAATTTTCTCAAAATGCTTCTATTTTTTGTGTAAAGATAACTCCTTTTTCAACATAAGCCTCAAAGCACTCCAAATATCCATTTTCAGATTCAAAAAAAGGAGTCTTTCCAACCTGCTGAATCAAAAGAAAGTTTCAACTCGGTGAGATAAAAGCAAACATCACAAAGAAGTTTCTCAGAATGCTTATGTCTAGTTTTTATGCGAAGATATTTCCATTTTCACCATAGGCCTTATACCAGTCACAAATATCCCTCTGCAGATACTACAAAAAGACTGTTTCCAAACTGCTCCATCAAAAGAAAGCTTCAAATCTGTGAGATGAATGAACACGTCACAAAGAATTTTCTCAGAATGCTTCTGTCAACTTTTTATGTGAAGATATTTCCTTTTTCACCATAGACCTCAAAGCACTCGAAATATCCATTTTAAAAAAATACTACAGAAAGACTGTTTCCAAACGGATCAATCAAAAGAAAGGTTCAACTCTGTGAGATAAATGAATACATCAAAAATAAGTTTCTCAGAATTCTTCTCCCTAGTTATTATGTGAAGGTATTTCCATTACCAACATAGGCCTCAAAGCACTCCAAATATCCATTTCTAGATAGATAGTACAAGAAGACTGTTTCCAAACTGCTCAATCAAAAGAAAGTTTCAAGACTGTGAGGTGAATGCAAACATCCAAAGAAGTTTCTCAGAATGCTTCTGTCTAGTTTTAATGTCAAGATATTTCCTTTTCCACCATAGGCCCCAAGGCACTCCAAATATCCACTTGGAGATTCTACAAAAGGAGTGTTTCAGAACTGCTCAATGAAAGGAAAGTTTAAACTCTGTGAAATGAATGAACACATCACAAGGAAGTTTCTCAGAATGCTTCTCTCTAGTTTTTATGTGAAGATATTTCCTTTTTCACCATAGGCATCCAAGTGTTCCAAATATCCATTTGCAGATACTACAAAAATTCTGTTTTCAAACTACTCAATAAAAGAAAGGTTCAACTCTGTGAGATGAATGCACACATCACAAAGAAGTTTCTCAGAAAGTTTCTGTCTAGTTTTTATGTGAAGATATTTCCTGTTTCCCCATAGGCCTCAATGGTCTCACAAATATCCCTTTGCAGTTTCTACAAAACGACTGTTTGCAAACTGTTCAATAAAAAGAAAATTTCAATGTGTGAGACGAATGCACACATCACAAAGAAGTCTGTCAGAATGCTTCTTTCTAGTTTTTATGTGAAGATATTTCCTTTTCCACAATAGGCCTCAAAGCGCTCCAAATATCGACTTGCAGATTCTACAAGAAGAGTGTTTCAAAAGTGCTCAATCAACAGAATGGTTGAATGTGAGATGAATGCACATATCTCAAAGAAGTTTCTCAATCAGTTTCTGTCTAGTTTTTATGTGAAGATATTTTCTATTACCCCATAGGCCTCAAAGGGCTCACAAATACCACTTGGTTGATACTACAAAAAGAGTGTTTCAAAACTGCTCAATCAAAAGAAAGGTTCATCTCTGTTAGACGAATGCACACAACACCAAGCAGTTTCACAGAATACTTCTGTCTAGTTTTTATGTGATGATATTTCCTTTCTCACCAAAGGCCACAAAGTGCTCCAAATATCCACTTGCAGATTCTCCAAAAAGAGTGTTTCAAAACTGCAGAATCAAAAGAAAGTTTCAGCTCTGTGAGATGAATTCACACATCACAAAGAAGTTTCTCAGAATGCTTCTGTCTAGTTTTTCTGTGAAGATATTTCATTTTTCACCATAGTCCTTAAAGCACTCAAAATATCCACTTGCAGTTTCTGCAAAAAGGCTATTTCCAAACTGCTCAATCAAAAAAAAAGGTTCAACTCTGTGAGATGAAAGCAAACATCACAAAGATGTTTCTCAGAAAATTTCTGTCTAGTTTTTACGTGAAGATATTTCCTATTTCCCCGAAGGCCTCAATGGGCTCACAAATATCCCATTGCAGATTCTACAAAACGACTCTTTCCAAATTGCTCAATCAAAAGAAATTTTCAACACTCTGAGAGGAATGCACACATCACAAAAAGTTTCTCAGAATGCTTCTGTCTAGTTTTTATATGGAGATATTCCTTTTCCACTATAGGCCTCAAAGTGCTGCAAATATCCACCTACAGATTCTAGAAAAAGAGTGTTTCAAAACTGCTCAATCAAAAGAACTGTTGAAATCTGTGAGATGAATGCACCCATCACAAAGAAGTTTCTCTGAATGCTTCTGTCTAGTTTTTGTGTGAAGATATTTCCTTTTTCACCATAAGCCTCAAAGTCCTCAAAATACTTATTTGTAGATATTACAAAAAGACAGTTTCCTAATTGCTCAATCAAAAGAAAGGTTCAACTATGTGAGATGAATGCACACATCACAGAGTAGTTTCTCAGAATGCTTCTGTCTAGCTTAATGTGAAGATATTTACTTTTTCACCATAGGCCTCAAAGTGCTGCAAATATCCATTTGCCTATATTAGAAAAAGACTGTTTCCAAAGTGCTCATTCAAAAGAAAGGTTCAACTCTATGAGAAGAATGCACACACCACTAAGAAGTTTCTGAGAATGCATTTGTCTAGTTTTTGTGTGCAAATATTCCCTTTTTCACCCTAGGCAGAAAACGTTCCAATTATTGACATGCAGATTCTTCAAAAAGACTGTTTCCAAACTGATCAATCAAAAGAAAGTTTCAACTCTGTGAGATGAAAGCACACATCACAAAGAAGTTTCTGAGAAAATTTCTAACCAGTTTTTATGTGAAGATATTTCCTATTTCACTATAGGCCTCAATGGGCTCACAAATATCCCTCTGCATATACTACAAAACAACTGTTTCCGGAAAGCTCAATCAAAAGTAATGTTCAACTCTCTGAGATGAATGTACACATCACAAAGAAGTTTCTCAGAATGCTTCTGTCTAGTTTTTATGTGAAGACATATTTTCCAACATAGGCCTCAAAGCGCTCCAAATATCCACTTGTAGATTCTACAAAAAGAGTGTTTCAAAACTGCTCAATCAAAAAGAAGTTAAACTCTGTGAGATAAATGCACACATTAGAAAGAAGTTTCTCAGAATACTTCTGTCTAGTTTTTATGTGAAGATATTTCCTTTTTCACCATAGGCCTCAAAGTGCTCCAAATACCCATTTGCAGATATTACAAAAGACTGCTTCCAAACTGCACAATTAAAAGAAAGTTTCAAATTTGTGAGATGAAAGCACACATCACAAGGAAGTTTCTCAGAAAGTATCTTTCTAGTTTTTATTTGAAGATGTTTCCTATTTCCCCATAAGACTGTAAGGGCTCAAAAATATCCCCTGGCAGAATCTACAAAAATTGTGTTTCAAAACTGCTCAAAGAAAATAAAGGTTCAACTTCGTGAGATGAATACAGACATCACAAAGAAGATTCTCAGAATGCTTCTGTCTAGTTTTTATGTGAAGATATTTCCTTTCTCATCAAAGGCCACAAAGCGCTCCACATATGCGCTTGCAGATTCTACAAAAAGAGTGTTTCAAAACTGCTCAATCAAAGAAAGTTTCAACTTGTTGAGATGAATGCATAGATCACAAACATGTTTCTCAGAACCCTTTTGTCTAGTTTTTATGTGAAGATGTTTCCTATTTCTCTATAGACCTCAATGTATTCAAAAATATCCCTTTGTAGATTCTACAAAAATAGTGTTTCAAAACTTCTCAATCAAAAGAAAATGTCAACACTGTGAGGTGAATGCACCCCTCACAAAGAAGTTTCTCAGAATGCTTCTCTCTAGTTTTTATGGGAATATATTTCCTTTTCCACAAAAGGCCACAAAGTGCTCCAAATATACATTTGCAGTTACTACAAGAAGACTTTTTCTAAACTGCTCAATCAAAAGAAAGGTTCAGATATGTGAGATGAATGCACACATCAAAAAGAAGTTTCTCAGAAAGCTTCTGTCTAGTTGTTATGTGAAGATATTTGCTTTTTCACCATAGGCCCCAAAGCGCTCCAAATATCCATTTGGAGATATTACAAAAGACTGTTTCCAAACAGCTCAATCAAAGGAAATTTTCAACTCTCTGAGATGAATGCAAACATCGAGAGAAGTATTTGAGAATGCTTCTGTCTAGTTTTTATGTGAAGATATTATCTTTTTCGCCATAGGCCTCAAAGCACTCACAATATCCACTTAAATATTCTACAAAAAGACTGCCACCAAAATGTTGAAGCAAAAGAAAGTTTCAACTCTGGGAGATGAAAGAACAAATCACAAAAAAGTTTCTCAGAAAGATTCTGTCTAGTTTTTATGTGAAATATTTCCTAATTCCCCATAGGCCTCACTGGTCTCAGAAATATCCCTTTGCAGATTCTAAAAACCGAATGTTTCCTAATTGCTTAATCAAAGGTAACGTTCAACTCTGTGAGATGAATGCACACATAACAAAGAAGTTTCTCAAAATGCTTCTGTCTAGTTTTTATGGGAAGATAAATCCTTTTCCACTGTACACCACAAAGTGCTCCAAATATACACTTGCAGATTCTACAAAAAGAGTGTTCAAAACTGCTCAATGAACAGAATGTTTCAACTGTGTGAGATGAATGCACACATCACAAAGAAGTTTCTCAGAATGCTTCTGTCTATTTTTTATGTGAAGATATTTCCTTTATCACCAAAGGTCTCAAAGAGCTCCATGTATCCACTTGGAGATTCTAGAAAATGACTGTTTTCAAACTGCTCAATCAAAAGAAAGTTTCATCTCTGTGAGATGAAAGCACACATCACAAGGAAGTTTCTCAGAATGATTCTGTATAGTTTTTATATGAAGATATTTTATTTTCCACCATAGGCCACAAAGTGCTCCAAATATCCACTTGCAGATCCTAACAAAACGCTGTTTCCAACCTCCTGGATGAAAAGAAAGTTTCAACTCTGTGAGAAGAAAGCACACATCACAAAGATGTTTCTCAGAAACTTTCTGTCTAGTTTTTATATGAAGATATTTCCTATTTCCCCATAGGACTCAAAGGGCTCACAAATATCCCTTTGCAGATTCTTCAAAACGACTGTTTCCAAACTGCTCAATGAAAAGAAATTTTCAAGACTGTGAGATGAATGCACACATCACAAAGAAGTTTCTCAGAATGCATCTGACTAGTTTTTATGTGAAGATATTTCCTTTTCCACCATAGACCTCAAAGCGCTACAAGCATCCACTTGCAGATTCTTCAAAAAGAGTGTATCAAAACCACTCAATCAATCGAAACTTTAAACTGTGTGAGGTGAATGCACACATCACAAAGTGGTTTCTCATAGTGCGTCTTTCAAGTTTTTATGTGAAGATATTTCCTTTTTTGCCATAGGCCTCCAACTGCTCCAAATATGCATTCGCAGATACTACAAAAAGACTGTTTGCAAACTGGTCCATCAAAAGGAAGTTACAAATCTGTGAGATGAATGCACACATCCCAAAGTAGTTTCTCACAATGCTTCTCTCAAGTTTTATGTGAAGATATTTCCTTTCTCACCATAGGCCTCATAGCTCTCCATATATCCATTTGCAGATACTGCAAAGAGAGTGTTTCCAAACTGCTCGATCAAAAGAAAGTTTTAACATTGTGAAATGAAGACATACATCACAAAGAAGTTTCTCAGAAAGTATCTGCCTAGTTTTTATGTGAAGATATTTCCTATTTACCCTAAACCTCAATGGTTTCACCATTATCCCTTTGCAGATTCTACAAAACTATTGTTTCCAAAAAGCTCAAGCAAAAGAAAGTTTCAACTCTGTGAGATGAATGCAAACATCACAAAGAAGTTTCTCAGAAGGATTCTATCTAGTTTTTATGTGAAGATATTTCCTTTTCTACCACAGGCCTCAAAACCCTCCATGTGTCCTCTTGCAGATTCTACAAAAAGAGTGTTTCAAAACTGCTCAATCTAAAGAAAGTTTCAAATCTGTGAGATGAATGCACACATCACAAAGAAGTTTCTCAGAATGCTTCTGTCTAGTTTTTATGTGAATATATTTCCTTTTTCACCAAAGGCGTCAAAGTGTTCAAAATATCCATTTGCAGATATTACAAAAAGACTCTTTCCAAACTGCTAAATCAAAAGAAAGTTTCAACTTTGTGAGATGAATGCACAGGTGACAAAGAAGTTTCCGAGAATTCTTCTTTCAGTTTTTGATGAGAAGATATTTCATTTTCCACCAGAGGCCACAAAGAGCTCCAAATATCCACTTGCACATTCTACAGAAAGACTGGTTCCATAATGCTCAATCAAAAGAAAGATTCAACTCTGTGAGACGAAATCACACATCACAAAGATATTTCTCAGAAAGTTTCTGTCTAGTTTTTATGTGAAGATATTTCCTATTTCCCCATAGGCCTCAAAGGGCTGACAAATATCCCTTTGCAGATTCTACAAAATGACTGTTCCCAAACTGCTCAATAAAAGGAAAGTTTTAACTCTCTGGGATGAATGCACACATCACAAAGAAGTTTCTCAAAATTCTTCTCTCCAGTTTTACGTGAAGATAGGCCCTTTTCCACCATGGGCCTCAAAGCGTTCCAACTCTCCACTTGCAGATACTATAAATAGAGTGTTTCAAAACTGTTCAATCAAAAGAAATTTTCAACTCTGTTGGATAAATGTACACATCACAAAGAAGTTTCTCGGAATGCTTCTGTCTAGTTTTTATGGGAAAATATCTCCTTTTTCACCATAGGCCTCAAAGCACTCCAAATATCCATTTCTAGATAGTACAAGAAGACTGTTTCCAAACTGCTCAATCAAAAGAAAGTTTCAAGACTGTGAGGTGAATGCAAACATCCAAATAACTTTCTCAGAATGCTTCTGTCTAGTTTTTATGTGAAGACATTTTTTTTCACCATAGGCCTCAAAGCGCTTCAAATATCCATTTGTAGATATAATAAAAGTCTGTTTCCTAACTGCTCAAAGAAAAGAAAGATTCAACTCTGTGAGATGAATGCACACATCACAAAGAGGTTTCTCATAATGCTTCTGTCTAGTTTTTATGTGAAGATATTTCCTTTTTCACCAATGGCCTCAAAGTGGTCCAAATATCCACTTGCAGATTCTACATAAAGACTGTTTCCAAACTGCCAAATCAAAATAAAGTTCAACTCTGTGAGATGAATGAACACATCACAAAGATGTTTCTCAGAATGCTTCTTTCCAGTTTTTATGTGAAGATATTCCTGTTCCTCCATAGACCTCAAAGGACTCCAAATATCCACTTGCGGACGCTACAAAAAGAGTGTTTCAAAACTGTTCAATTAAAAGAAAGATTCAGCTCTGCGTGATGAATGCACTCATTACAAAGAAGTTTCTCAGAATGGCTCTGGCTAGTTTTTATATGGAGATAATTCCTTTTTCACCATAGGCCACAAAGCGCTCCAAATATCCACTTGCATATACTACCAAAAGAGTGTTTCAAAACTGCTCAATCAAAGGAAAGGTTCAACTCTGTGAGATGAAGGCACACATCTCATGGGAGTTTCCCAGAATGCTTCTGTATAGTTTTTATGGGAAGCTGTTTCCTTTTTCACCACTGGCCTCAAAGCGGTCCAAGTATCAATTTGCAGATACTACAAGAAGACTGTTTCCAAACTGCTCAATCAAAAGAAAGGTTCAAGTCTGTGAGATGAATCCACACATCCAAAGAAGTTTCCCAGAATGCTTCTGCCTAGCTTTTTTTGTGAAGATATATCGTTTTACACCGTTGGCCTCAAACCGCTCCAAATATCCACTTGCAGATTCTATAAAAAGAGTGTTTCAAAACTGCTCAATAAAAAGAAAGGTTCAACCCTCTGAGATGAATGCACACATCACAGGGAAGTTTCTCAGAATGAGTCTGTCTAGTTTTTATGTGAAGATATTTACTTTTCCCCAGAGTTTCAAAGTGCTCCAAATATCCATTTGCAGATACTCCAAAAAGACTGTTTCCAAACTGCTAAATCAAAAGAGAGGTTCAACTTTATGAGATGAATGCACACATCACAAAGAAGTTTCTCAGAATGCTTCTATCTACTTTTTATGTGAAGATATTTCCTTTGTCACCATAAGCCTCAAAGCGCTCCAAATATCCACTTGCAGATTTTACAAAAAGACTGTTTCCAAACTGCTCAATCAAAAGAAAGTTTCAACTCTGAGAGATGAAAGCACACATCAAAAGGGGTTTCTCAGAAAGTTTCTGTCTAGTTTTTATGTGAAGATATTTTCTACTTCCCCATGGACCTCAATGGGCTCACAAATATCCCTTTGCAGATTCTACAAAAAGACTGTTTCAAAACTGCTCAATCAAAAGACATTTTCAACAGTGTACGATGAATGCACACATCAAAAGTAGTTTCTCAGAATGCTTCTGTCTAGTTTTTATGTGAAGGTATTTTCTTCTCCCCTAGAGGCCGAAATGCACTCCAAATATACACTTGCAGATCCTAAAAAAACAGTGTTTCAAAACTGCTCAATCAAATGAAAGATTCAACTCTTTGAGTTGAATGCACACATCACAAAGAACTTTCTCAGAATGCTTCTGTCTAGTATTTATTTGAAGATATTTTCTTTTCCACCATAGTCCTCAAAGCACTCCAAATATCCACTTGTAGATTCCAGAAAAAGAATGTTTGAAAACTGCTTAATCAAAAGAACCATTCAACCCTGTGAGATGACTATACACATCACCAAGAAGTTTCTCAGAATGCTTCTTTCTAGTTATTATTTGAATATATTTCCTCTTCCACCTTAGGCCTGAAAGCGCTCCAAATATCCGCCTCCAGATTCCACAAAAAGAGTGTTTCAAAACTGCTCAATCAAAAGAAAGATTGAACTCTGTGAGTTGAATGCAAACATCACAAGGAAGTTTGTCAGAATGTTTCTGTCCAGATTTTATGTAAAGATATTTCCTTTTCCACCATACGTCACAAAGCATTCCAAATATCCACTTGCAGATTTTACAAAAAGTGTTTGAAAACTGCTCAATCAAAAGAGAGGTTCAACACTGTGAGTTGAATGAACACATCACAAAGAAGTTTCTCAGAATGCTTCAGTCTAGTTTCTATGTGATGATATTTCGTCTTTCAGCATAGGCATCAAATATTCATTTGCAGATACTGAAAAAAGACTGCTTAAAACTGCTCAATCAAAAGCAAGTTTCAAATCTTTGAGTTGAATACACACATCACAAAGAAGTTTCTCAGAGTGCTTCTGTCTAGATTTTATGTGAGGATATTTCCTTTCGAACCATAGGTCTGAAAGCGCTCCAAATATCCACTTGCAGATTCTACAAAAAGAGTGCTTCAAAACTGCTCAATCCAAAGAGAGGTTCAACTCTGTTAGTTGAATGCACACATCACAAAGATGTTTCTCAGAATGGTTCTGTCTAATTTTTCTGTGAATATATTTCCTTTTCCACCTTCAGCCTCAAAGCGCTCCAAATATACACTTTCAGATTCTACAAAAAGAGTGTTTCAAAACTGCTGAATCAAAAGAAAATTTCAACACTGTGAGATGAATGCACAAATTACAAAGAAGTTTCTCAGAATGTTTCTGTCCAATTTTTGTGTGAAGATAATTCCTTTTCAACTATAAGCCTCAAAACTCTCCAAATATCCATTTGCAGATACTTCAAAAAGAGTGTTTCAAAACTGCTCATTCGAAAGAAAGGTTTAACACTGGGAGTTGAATGCACACATCACAAAGATGTTTCTCAGAATGCTTTTGTCTAGTTTTTATGTGAAGATATTTCCTTTTCCACTATAGGTCTCAAAGCACTACAAATATCCACTTGCAGATTATACAAAAAGAGTGTTTCAAAACTGCTCAATCAAAAGAAAATTTCAACTCTGTGAGATGAATGCATACATCACGAAGAAGTTTCTCAGAATGCTTCTGTGTAGTTTTTATGTGAAGATATTTCCTTTTCCACTAGAGGGCGCAAAGCGCTCCAAATATCAACTTGCAGATTCTACAAAAAGAGTGTTTCAAAACTGCTCATTCAAAAGAGAGGTTCAACTCTGTGAGTTGAATGCACACATCACAGAGTAGTTTCTCAGAATGCTTCTGTCTAGTTTTTATGGGAAGATATTTCCTTTTCCACCATAGACCTCAAATTGCCCAAATATCCACCTGCAGATTCTTCAAAAAGAGTGTTTCAAAACTGCTCAATGAAAAGCGAACTCTGTGAGTTCAATGCACACATCACAAAGTAGTTTCTCAAAATGCTTCTGTCTAGTTTCTATGTAAACATATTTCCTTTTCCACCATAGGCCTCAAGGCACTCCAAATATGCATTTGCAGATACTACAGAAAGACTGTTTAAAAACTCCTCCATCAAAAGAAAGTTTCAACTCTGTGAGTGGGATGCACACATCAGAAATAAGTTTCTCAGAATGCTTCTGTCTAGTTTTTATGTGAAGATATTTCCTTTTCCACTATAGGCCTCAAAGCTCTCCAAATATACATTTGCAGATACCGCAAAAAGACAGTTTCCAAACAGCTCCATCAAAAGAAAGGTTCAACACTGGGAGTTGCATGGATGCATCACAAAGATGTTTCTCAGAATGCATTTGTCTAGTTTTTATGGGAAGATATTTCCTTTTCCACTGTAGGCCACAAAGCGCTCCAAATATCTACCTGTAGATTCTACAAGAAGAGAGTTTGATAACTGCTCAATCAAAAGAAAGGTTCATCTCTCTGAGATGAATGTGCACATCACAAAGAAGTTTCTCAGAATGCTTCTGTGTAGTTTTTATGGGAAGATATTTCCTTTACCACTATAGGCCTCAAGGTACTGCAAATATCAAATTGCAGATACTACAAAGAAACTGTTTCTAATCTGCTCAATCAAAAGAATGGTTCAACTCTGTGAGATGAAAGCACACATCTCAAAGAAGTTTTTCAGAATGTTTCTCTCTAGTTTTTATGTAAAGATATTTCCTTTTCCATTATAGGCCTCAAATTGCTCCAAGTATCCTCTTGCAGATTCTGCAAATGAGTGTTTCAAAACTGCTCAACTCGAAGAAAGTTTCAACTCTGTGAGATGAATGCAAACATCACAAATAAGTAAGTTTCTCAGAATGCTTCCTTCTAGTTTTCATGTGAAGATATTTCCTTTTCCAGCATTTGCTTCAAGGCACTCCAAATATCCAACTCCAGATTCTACAAAAAGTGTGTTTCAAATCTGCTCAATCAAAAGTATGTGAGAAGAATGCACACATCAGAAAGAAGTTTCTCAGATTTCTTCTGCCTAGATTTTACATGAATATATTTCCTTTTCCACTATTGACCGCAAAGTGCTCCAAATTTCCACTTGGAGATTTTACAAAAAGAGTGTTTCAAAACTGCTCAATCAAAAGAAATGTTCATCTCTGTGAGATGAATGCACACATCACAAAGAAGTTTCTCAGAATGCTTCTGTCTAGTTTTATGTGAAGATATTTCCTTTTCTACCATAGACCTCAAAGCACTCCAAATATCCACTTGCGGATTCCACAAAAAGAGTGTTTCAGAACTGCTCAATCAAAAGAAACCTTCAACTCTTTGAGATAAATACACACAACACAAAGAAGTTTCTCAGAATGCTTCTGTCTAGTTTTTATGTGAAGATATTTTCTTTTCCAGTATAGGCTGCAAGTGTTCCAAATATCCTCCTGCAGTTTCTACCAAGAGTGTGTTTGAAAACTGCTGAATCATAAGAAAGGTTCCACTCTGTGAGATGAATATACACATCACAAAAAAGTTTTTCAGAGTGTTTCCATCTACTTCTTATGTGAAGATATTTCCTTTTCCACCATAGGACTCAAAGTGCTCCAAATATCCACTTGCAGATACTACAAAATGACTGTTTCAAACTGCTAAACCAAAAGAAAGGTTCAACTCGGTGAGATGAATGCACATATCACAAAGAAGTTCCTCAAAATGCTTCTGTCTAGTTTTTATGTGAAGATATTTCCTTTTTCAGGATAGGCCTCAAAACGCTCCAAATATCCACTTGCGGATTCTGCAAAAAGAGTGTTTCAGAACTACTCAATCCAAAGAAGCCTTCAACTCTGTGAGATAAATACATACATCACAAAGAAGTTTCTCAGAATGCTTCTGTCTAATTTTTGTGTGAAGATATTTCCTATTTCACCATAGAACATCAAGGGTTCACAAATATCCCTTTGCAGATTCTACAAAAGGATTCTTTCCAAGCTGCTCAATCAAAAGAGAGGTTCAACTCTGTGAGATGAATGGATGCATCACAAAGAAGTTTCTCAGAATGCTTCTGTCTAGTTTTTATGTGTAGATATTTCCTTTTTCACAATAGGCCTTAAACCACTCACAAGTATCCCTCTGCAGATACTACAAAAGGACTCTTTCTAAACTTATCCATCAAATAAATTTTCAACTCTGTCAGATGAATGCACACATCACAAAGAAAATTCTCAGAATGCTTCTTTCTAGTTTTTAAGTGAAGATATTTCCTATTTCACCATAGGCCTCAATGGGTTCCCAAATATCCCTTTGCAGATGATTGTACAAAAAGACTTTTTCGAAACTGCTCAATGCAAAGAAAGTTTTAACTGTGTGAGATAAATGCAGGCATCAAAAAGTTTGTCAGAATGCTTCTGTCTAGTTTTATGTGAAGATATTTCCTTTTTCACCGTAGGCCTCAAAGTGCTCCAAATATCCATTTGTAGATTCTACAAAAAGACTCTTTCCAAACTGCTCAGTGAAAAGGAACCTTCAAACCAGGAAGATGAAATCATATATCACAAAGAAGTTTCTCAGAAAGCTTCTGTCTAGATTTTTTGTGAAGGTATTCTCTATTTCACCGTAGGCCATCAAGGTCTCACAAATATCCCTTTGCAGATTCTACAAAAGGACTCTTTCCAAACTGCTCAATCAAAATAAAGGTTCGACTCTCTGAGATGAATGCACATATCACATAGAAGTTTCTCAGAATGCTTTAGTCTAGTTTTTATGTGAAGATATTTTCTTTTTCACCATAGGCCTTAAACTGCTCACAAATATCCCTGTGCAGATACTGTAATAAGTCTCTTTCCAAACTGCTCCATCAAAGAATGTTTCAACTCTGTGAGATGAATGTACACATCACAAAGGAGTTTCTCAGAATATTTCTGTCTATATTTAATTTGAAGATATTTCCTTTTTCACCATAAGCCTCAAAGCGCTCCAAATATCCATTTATAAATTCTACAAAAAGACTGTCTCCAAACTCCTCAAACAAAAGGAAGTTTCAACTCTGAGACTTGAAAGCATACATCACAAAGAAGGTTCTCAGAAAAGTTCTGTCTAGTTTTTATGTGAGTGTATTTCCTATTTCACAATGGGCCATAAAGGGCTCACAAATATCCCTTTGCATGTTCTATGATAATACTCTTTCCAAACTGCTCATTCAAAAAAGATTCAACCCTGTGAGATGAATGGATACATCACAAAGAAGTTTCCCTGAATGCTTCTGTCTAGTTTTTACGTGAAGATATTTCTTTTTCACAATAGGCCTCAAATGGCTCAGGAATATCCCTATGCAGAATGTACAAAAAGGTGCTTTCCAAACTGTTCAATCAAAGCACAGTTTCAACACTGTGAGATGAACGCACACATCACAAAGTCGTTTCTCAGAATACTTCTGCCTACTTTTTATGTGAAGATATTTCCTGTTTCTCAATAGGCCCTAAAGGGATCTCAATTATACCTTTGCAGATTCTACGAAAAGACTGTTTCCATATTGCTCACTGAAAAGTGAAGTTCAACTCTGTGAGATGAATGCACACATCACTAAGAAGTTTTTCAGAATGCCTCTGTCTAGTTTTTATGTGAAGATATTTCCTTTTCACTAAGGGCCACAAAGCGTTTCAAATATCCACTTGCAGATTCTGCAAAAACAGTGCTTCAAAACTGTTCAATCAAAAAAAAAAAAAGATTCAACTCTGTGAGTTAAATGTACACTTCTCAAGTAAGTTTATCAGAGTGCCTCTGTCTTGTTTTTATGTGAAGATGCTCCGAATATCCATTTGCAGATTCTACAAAAAGAGTGTTTCAAAACTGTTCAATCAAAAGAAAGATTCGTCTGTGTGAGGCGAACGCACACATCCAAAGAAGTTTTTCAGAATGGTTCTGTGTAGTTTTTATGTGAAGATATTTCCTTTTCCACTATAGGCCACAAAGCACTTCAAGTATGCACTTGAAGATTCTACAAAAAGAGTGTTTCAAAACTGCTCAATGCAAAGAAAGATTCAGCTCTGTGACATGAATGCCCACATCACAAAGAAGTTTCTCAGAATATTTCTGTCTAGTTTTTTTTTGTGCAGATATTTCCTTTTCCACTATAGGCCACAAAGTGCTCGAAAAATCCCCTTGCAGATTCTTAAAAAAGAGTGTTTCAAAACTGCTCAATCAAAAGAAAGGTTGAACTCTGTGAGTCGAATGCACACGTGACAAAGTAGTTTCCCAGAATGAGTCTGTATAGTTTTTTTTGTGAAGATATTTCCTTTTCCTCTATAGGCCGCAAAGCGCTGCAAATATCCACTTGCAGATTCTACAAAAAAAGTGTTTCAAAACTGCTCAATCAAAAGCAAGGTTCAAATCTATGAGATGAATGCACACATCACAAAGAAGTTTCTCAGAATGTTTCTGTCTAGTTTTTATGTGGAGATATTTAATTTTCCAGGATAGGCGCAAAGTGCTCCATATATCCACTTGCAGATTCTAAAAAACAGTGTTTCAAAACTTTTCAGTCAAAACAAAGGTTCAACTCTGTGATATGAAAGCAGAAATCAACAAGAAGTTTCTCAGAATGCTTCTGTCTAGTTTTTATGTGAAGATATTTCCTTTTTCACCATAGGTGTCAAAGCACTCCAACTATCCTTTTGCAGATACTACAAAAAGACAGTTTCCAAATAGCTCAATCAAAGGAAAGGTTCAACTCTGTGAGATGAATGCACACATCACAAAGAAGTTTCTCAAAATGCTTCTGTCTAGTTTTTCTGTGAAGATATTTCCTTTTCCACAGTAGACCTCAAAGCACTCCAAATATCCACTTGCAGATTCTACAAAAAGAGTGTTTCAAAATTGCTCAATCAAAAGAAATGTTCAACTCTGTGAGATGAAAGCATCCATCACAAAGAAGCTTCTCAGGAACTTTCTGTCTAGTTTTTATGTGAAAATATTTCCTATTTCCACATAGGTCTCCTTGAGGTGAAAAATATCCCTTTGCACATTCTGCAAAACGACAGTTTCCAAAATGCTCATTTAAAGAAATGTTCACCTCTATGAGATGAATCCACACATCACAAAGAAGTTTCTCAGCATGCTTTTATCTAGTTTTTATGTGAAGGTATTTCCTTTTTCACCATAGGCCTCAAAGCGCTCCAAATATCCATTTGTAGATAATACAAAAAGACTGCTTCCAAACTGCTCAATCCAAAGAAAGGTTCAATTCTGTGAGTTGAATGCGCACATCACAAAGAAGTTTCTGTGAATGCTTCTGTCTAGTTTTTACGTGAAGATATTTCCTTTTTAAACAAAGGCCTCAAAGTGCTCCAAATATCCATTTACAGATACTACAAAAGACTGTTTCCAAACAGTTCACTCAAAAGAAATGTTAAACCCTTTGAGCTGAATGCACACATCACAAAGAAGTTTCTCAGAATGCTTCTGTCTAGTTTTTATGTGAAGATATTTCCTTTTCCACCATAGGCCCCAAAGCGCTCCAAATATCCACTTGCAGAATTCACAAAAAGAGGTTTTCAAAACTGCCCAACCAAAAGGAAGGTTCAACTCTGTGAGATGAATGCACACATCACAAAGAAGTTTCTCAGAATGCTTCTGTCTAGTTTTTATGTGAAAATATTTCCTTTTTCAACATAGGTCACAAAGCACTCCAAATATCCATTTCCAGATACTGCAGAAAGACTGTTCCCAAACTGCTCAATCAAAAGAAAGGTTCAACTCTTTGAGATGAATGCACTTTTCTCAAAGAAGTTTCTCAATAACCTTCTGTTAATTTTTAATGTGAAAGTATTTCCTTTTTCACCCTAGTCCTCAAATGGCTCACCAATATCCCTTTGCAGTTTCTTCATAAAACCTGTTTCCAAACTGCTCAGTCAATGGAAATGTTCAACTCTGAGATATAAATTCTTCCATCACAACGAAGTTTCTAAGAAATCTTCTGCCTTTTTTTATGTGAAGATAATTCCTTTTTCACCAAAGGCCACAACAGTCTCAAATATATCCCTTTACAGATACTACAAAAACACTGTTTCCTCACTGCAAAATCAAAAGAAAGATTTAGCACTTGGAGGTGAATGCACACGTCACAAAGATGTTTCTCAGAAATCTTCTGTCTAGTTTTTATGTAAATATATTTCCTTTTTCACCATGGGCCCCAAAGCACTCAAAATGTCTGTATGCCGATTCAACTATAAGAATATTTCCAAACTGCTCAATGAAAATAAAGGTTCAATACTGTGAGATGAATGCATACATCACAAAGAAGTTTCTCAAAAAGTTTCTGTCTAGTTTTTAGGTGAAGATATTTACTATTTCACCATAGGTCTCAAGGGGCTCACAAATATCCCTTTGCAGATTCTAACAAAGACTGTTTACAAACTGCTCAATGAAAAGAAAGGTTCAACTCTGTGAGATGATAGCACACAACGAAAGAAGTTTCTCAGAAATATTCTCTCTAGTTTTTATGTGAAGAAATTTCTTTTTCACCATAGGCCTCAAACAACACAGAAATATCATTCTGTAGATTTTACAAAGAGATGGTTTCCAAACTGCTCCATCAAAAGAAAGGTTCTACTCTGTTAGATGAATGGACTCATCACAAAGAAGTTTCCCAGAATTCTTCTCTTCAGTTTTTATATGAAGATATTTCTTTTTCACTATAGACCTCAAATGGCTCAGAAATATGCCTTTGTAGATTGCACAAAAAGACTGTTTCCAAACTCCTCAGGCAAAAGAAAGCTTCAACCCTGTGAGATGATTGCACACATAACAAAAAATGTCTCAGAAAACTTCTGTTTAGATTTTATGTGAAGATATTTCCTCTTTCACCATAGGCCTCAAAGTGTTCCAAACATCCACTTGCAGGTTCTACAAAAGAGTGTTTCCAAACTGCTCAATCAAAAAAAGGATCAACTCTGTGAGATGAAAGTACACATAACCAAGAATTTTCTCTGAAAGCTTCTGTCTAGTTTTTGTGTGAAGATATTTCCTTTTTCATTGTAGGCCACAAAGTCCTACAAATATCCATTTGCAGATTCTATAAACAGACTTTTTCTGAACTGCTCAATGAAAAGAAATTTTAAACTCTGTAAGGTGAATGCACTCATAAAAAAGAAGTTTCTTAGAATGCTTTTGTCTAGTTTTTATGTGAAGATATTTCTTTTTCACCATAGGCCTCACAGGGCTCAGAAATATCCCTTTGAAGATTGTACAAAAAGGCTATTTCCCAACTTTTCAATGAAAGGAAAGATTCAACTCTGTGAGATGAATGCACACATCTCAAAGAAGTTTCTCAGAATGCTTCTGTCTAATTTTTATGTGAAGATATTTCCTTTTACAATATAGGCCTGAAAGCACTCCAAATATCCATTTGCAGATTCTACAAAAAGACTGTTACCAAACAGCTCAATCAAAAGTAAGGTTCAACTCTGTGAGATGAAAACACACATCACAAAGAAGTTTCTCCGAAAGCTTCTGTCTAGTTTTTGTGTGAAGATATTTCCTATTTCACCATAGGCCTTAAAGGGCTCACAATTATCCCTTTGCAGATTCTACAAAAGGACTCTTTCCAAACTTCTGAGTCAAAGGAAAGGCTAAAATCCATGAGATGATTGCACACAAAACAAAGAAGTTTCTCAGAATGCTTCTGTCTAGCTTTTATGTGAAGATATTTCCTTTTTTACCATTGGCCTCAAAGCGCTCCAAATATCGATTTGCAGATTCCACAAAAAGAGTGTTTCCAAACTGCTCAATCAAAAGAAAGGTTCAACTCTGTGAGATGAATTCACACATCACAAAGAATTTTCTCAGAAATCTTCTGTTTAGTTGTTTTGTGAAGATATTCCCTTTTTCACTATAGGCCTCAAAGCACTCGAAATATCCATTTGCAAATTCTACAAAAAGAGTGTTTCCAAACTGTTCAATCAAAAGAAAGGTTCAACTCTGCAGGATCAACGCACACAACACAAAGAAGCTTCTCAAAGTGCTTCTGTCTAGTTTTTATGTGAAGATATTTCCTTTTTCACAATTGGCCTTAAACGGCTCACAAATATCCCTCTGCAGATACTACAAATAGACTGTTTCGAAACTGCTCCATCAAAAGAAAGGTTCAACTCTGTGAGATGAATGCACACATCACAAAGAAGTTTCTCAGAATCCTTCTGTCTTGTTTTTATGTGAAGGTGTTTCTTTTTTCACCATAGGCCCCAAAGCGCTCCTTATATCCATTTACAGATTATACAAAAAGAGTGTTTCCAACGTACTCAATCAAAAGAAAGGCTCATCTCTGTTATACAAAAGCATACACCACAAGGAAGTTTCTCATAAAGCTTCTGTTTAGTTTTTATGTGAAGATATTAACTTTTTCACCATAGGTCACAAAGCGCTCCAAATATCCATTTTCAAATTCTACAAAAATAGTGTTTCCAAACTTCTGAATCAAAGGAAAATGTTCAAATCAGTGAGATGAATGCACACATCACAAAGAAGTTTTGCAGAATGATTCTGTCTAGTTTTTATGTGAAGATACTTCCTATTTCACAATAGGGCATAAACGGCTCACAAATATCCCTTTGCAGATTCTACGAAAAGACTGTTTCCAAACTGCTCAATGAAAAGAAACATTCAACACTGTGAGATGAAACACACGTCACAAAGAAGTTTCTCAGAATGCTTCTGTCTAGTTTTTATGTCAACATACTTCTTTTTCACCATAGGCCTCAAAAGGCTCGGAAATATCCCTTTACTGATTTTATGAAAAGACTGTTTCCAAAATGCTCAAGCAAAAGAAAGTTTCAGTTCTGTGAGATGAATGCATACATCACAAAGAAGTTTCTCAGAATCCTTCTGTCTAGTTATTATGTAAAGATATTTCCTTTATCACAATAGGACATACAGGGCTCACAAATATCCATTTGTAGATTCTATGGAAAGACTGTTTGCAAACTGCTCAATCAAAACAAAGGTTCAAATCTGTGAGATGAATGCACACATCACAAAGAAGTTTCTCAGAATGCTTTGGTCTAGTTTTTATGTGAAGATACTTCTTTTTCACCGCAGGCCTCAAATGGCTCGGAAATATCCCTTTGCAGATTTTACAAAAAGAATGTTTCCAAACTGCTGAAACAAAAGAAATTTTCAACTATGTGAGATGAATACACACATCAATAATAGTTTCACAAAAATCTTCTGTTTAGCTTTTTTGTGAAGATATTTCCTATTTGACCTAGGCCATAATGGGCTCACAAATATCCCTTTGCAAATTCTACAAAAGGACTCTTTCCAAACTGCTCAGTCAAAGGAAAGTTTCAACTCTGTGAAATGAACGGACACATCAGAAAGGGGTTTCTCTGAATGCTTCTGTCTAGTGTTTATGTGAAGATATTTCCTTTTTCACAATAGGCCTTAAACCACTCACAAATATCCCTCTGCAGATACCACAAAAAGACTGTTTCCAAACTGCTCCATCAAAAGAAAGTTTTAACACTGTGAGATGAATGCACACATCACAAAGGAGTTTCTCAGAATGTTTTTGTCTAGTTTTCATGTGAAGATATTTCCTTTTTCACCAAAGGCCTCAAAGCGATCCAAATATCGATTTGCAGATTCTTCAAAAGGACTGTTTTCAAACGGCCCAGTTGAAAGAAAGGTTGAACTCTGTGAGATGAATGCACACATCACAAAGAAGTTTCTCAGAAAGCTTCTGTTTATTTTTTTCCTGAAGATATTTCCTTTTTTACAAGAGGCCTCAAAGCACTCCAAATAATCATTTGCAGATTCTACATAAAGAGTGTTTCCAAACTGTTCAATCAAAAGAAAGTTTCTATTCTGTGAGATGAATGCCCACATCACAAAGAAGTTTCTCAGAATACTTCTGTCTACTTTTTATGTGAAGATATTTCTTTTTCACCACAGGCCTAAAACGGCTCAGAAATACCCCTTTGCAGATTCTACAATAAGACTCTTTCCAAACTATTCAATCAAAAGAAAGTTTCAACTCTATGAGTTGAATATAGGCATCACAAAGAAGTTGCTCACAATGTTTCCATCGAGTTTTTATGTGAAGATATTTCCTTTTTCACCATAGGCATCAAAGTGCTCCAAATATCCATTTACAGATTCTATAAAAAGACCGTTTCCAAACTGCTCCCCCAAAAGAAACGTTCAACTCTGTGAGATGAATGCACACATCACAAATAAGTTTCTCAGAATGCTTCTGTCTAGTTTTTATGAGAAGGTATTTCCTTTTTCACCACAGGCCTCCAAGCGCTCCTTATATCCATTTGCAGATTCTACAAAAAGACTTTTTCCACCCTGCTCAGTCAAAAGAAGTGTTCAAATCTGTGAGTTGAAAACATACATCCCAAAGAAGTTTCTCAGAAAGCTTTCATTTAGTTTTTAGGTGAACATATTTCCTTTTTCACCATAGGCCACAAAGCGGTCCAAATACTCATTTGCGGATTCTACAAAAAGAGTGTTTCCAAACTGCTCAATCAAAACAAAAGTTCATCTCTGTGAGATGAATGCACACATCACAAAGAACTTTCCCAGAATGCTTCTGTCTAGTTTTTATGTGAAGATACTTCCTATTTCACAATACAGCATAAACGACTCACAAATATCCCTTTGCAGATTCTATGAAAAAACTGTTTCCAAACTTCTCAATGAAAAGAAAGGTTCAACTCTGTGAGATGAAACACACTTCACAAAGAAGTTTCTCAGAGAGCTTCTGTCAAGTTTTTATGTCAAGATACTTCTTTTTCACCATAGGCCTCAAATGCCTTGGAAATATCTCTTTGCTGATTTTACAAAAAGACTGTTTGCAAACTGCTGAACCAAAAGAAAAGTTCAGCTCTGTGAGAAAAATGCAGGCATCACAACGAAATTTCTCAGAATGCTTCTTTCTAGATTATATATGAAGATATTTCCTTTTTCACCATAGTCCTCAAAGAGCTCCAAATATCCATTTGCCGACTCTACAAAAAGACTGTTTACAAACTGCTCAATCGAAAGAAAAGTTCAACTCTGTGAGATTAAAGCACACATCACAAAGTAGTTTCTCAGGAATGTTCTCTCTAGTTTTTATGAGAAGATATTTCCTATTTCACCATAGGTCAAAAAGGGCTCACAAATATCCCTGCACAGTTTCTACAAAAAGACTGTTTCCAAACTGTTCAATTAAAAGAAAGGTACAACACTGTGAGATGAATGCAAACATCACAAATAAGTTACTCACAATCCTTCTATCTAGTTTTTATGACTAGATATTTCTTTTTCACCATAGGCCTCAAACAGCTCTGAAATATCCATTTACAGATTGTAGAAAAAGACTGCTTCCAATCTCCTCAATCAAAAGAAAGGTTAAACACTGTGAGATGAAGGTTGGCATCATGAAAAAGTTTCTCTGAATGCTTCTGTCTAGTTTTTATGTGAAGATATTTCCTATTTCATCATAGGCCTCAAAGCACTCCAAATATCCATTTGCAGATTCTACAAAAAGACTGTTTCCAAACTGCCCAACCAAAAGACAGGTTCAACTCTGGGAGGTGAATGCACACATCCCAAAGAACTTTCTCAGAATGCTTTTGTCTTTTTTTTAAGTGAAGATATCTCCTTTTCACCATAGACCTCAAAGCACTCCAAATATCCATTTGCAGATTCAACAAAAAGAGCATTTCCAAACTGCTCAATCAAAAGAAAGTTTCAACTCGGTGAAATGAATGTGCACATCACAATGGAGTTTCTCGGAATGCTTGTTTCTGGTTTTTATGTGAAGATATTTCCATTTTCACCATAGGCCTTATTCTGGTCAAAAATATCCTTCTGCAGACACTATAAAAAGACTCTTTCCAAACTGCTGCATCAAAAGAAATCTTCAAATCTGTGAAATGAATGCACACATCACAAAGGTGTTTCTCAGAATGCTTCTGTGTAGTTTTTATGAGAAGACATTTCCTTTTCCACAACAGGCCTCAAAGCATTTCAAATATCCACATGCAAGTTGTACAAAAAGAGTGCTTCAAAACTGCTCAATCAAAAGAAAGGTTCAACTCTGTGAGATGAATGCACACATCACAAAAAAGTTTCTCAGAATGCTTCTGTCTAGTTTTTATGTGAAGATATTTCCTTTATCATCATAGGCCTCAAATCACTCTAAATGTCCATTTGCAGATTCTAAAAAGACACTGTTCCCAAACTGCTCAATCAAAAGAAAGGTTCAAATCTGTGAGGTGAATGAACACATGACAAATAAGTTTCTCTGAACTCTTCACTCTAGTTTTTATATGAAGATATTTCCTTTTTCACAATAGGCCACAAAGTGCTCAAAAATGTCCCTTTGCAGATTCCAGAAAAGGTTGTTTCCAAACTGCTCAATCAAAAGAATGCTTCAAATCTGTGGGGTGAAGGCACACATCATGAAGGAATTACTTAGATAGCTTCTATCTAGTTTTTAGGTGAAGATATATCCTTTTTCACAACAGGCCTCAAACAGCCTACATATATCCCTTTGCAGATTCCACAAAAAGACAGTTTCCAAATTGCTCAATCAATAGAATGGTTCAAATCTGTGATATGAATACACACATCACAATGAAGTTTCTCAGAAACCTTCTCTCTTGTTTTTATGTGAAGATATTTCCTTTTTCACAATATGCCTCAAAGCACTCACAAATATCCCTTTACAGATTCTCCAAAAAGACTGTTTCTATACTGCTCAATCAAAACAAAGTTTCAAGTCTGTGAGATGAAGGCACACATCACAAAGAAGTTTCTCAGAAATCTTCAATCTAGTTTTTATGTGAAGATATTTCCTTTTTCACCATAACCCCCAAAGCATTCACAAATATCACTGCAGATTCTACAAAAAGTCCGTCTCCATACTGCTCAATCAAAAGAATGCTTTGACTCTCTGAAATAAATGCACACATCACAAATAAGTTTGTCAGAAAGCTTTTGTCTAATTTTTATGTGAATATATTTCCTTTTTCACCATAGGCCTCAGATCTCCTAGAAGTATCCCTTTGCAGATTCCACAAAAAGACTGTTTCCAAATTGCTCTATCAAAGCAAAGTTTCAACTCTGTGAGATGAATGCGCACATCACAAAGAAGTTTCTCTGAAAGCTTCTGTGTAGTTTTTATGTGAAGATATTTCCATTTTCTCCATAGCCCTCAAACCACTCACAAATATCCCTCACAGATTATACAAAAAGAGGGTTTCCAACCTGCTCAATCAAAAGAAAAGTTCTACTCTGTGAGATTAATTCACACATCACAACGAAGTTTCTCAGAGGGCTTCTGTCTACTTTGTATGTGAAGATGTTTCCTTTTTCACCATAGGCCTAAAACCGCCTTTATATATCCTATTGCAGATCCTACAGAAAGACTCTTTCCAAACTGCTCAATCAAAAGTAAGCTTCAACTCCATGAAATGAATGCTCACATCAAAAAAGTTTCTCAGAAAGCTTCTGTCTTGTTTTTATATGAAGATATTTCCTTTTTCACTATACGACACAAAGCATTCACAAATATCACTTTGCAGATTCTACAAAAAGACTGTCTCCAAACTGCTCATTAAAAAGAATGGTTCAACTCTGTGACACGAATGAATACATCACAAAGAAACTTTTCAGAATGCTTCTCTGTAGTTTTTTTATGAATATATTTTCTTTCTCACAGCAGGCCTCAAACCTCTCACAAATATCCCTTTACAGATTCTCCAAAAAGACAGTTTCCCAACTGCTCAATCAAAAGAGATGTTCAACTCTGTGTGATGATGGCAGACATCACAAGGAAGTCTCTCAGAAAGCTTCTGTCTACTTTTTATGTGAAGATATTTCCTTTTTCACCACTGGCCTAAAACTGCCTTCATATACCCTTTGGAGATAATACAAAAAGACTGCTTGCAAACTGTTCAATTCAAAGAAAGTTTCAACATTTTGAGATGAATGCACACATCAAAAAGGTGTTTCTCAGAAAGCTTCTGTCTAGTTTTTAAGTAAAGACATTTCATTTTTTCAAAATTGGCCACAAAGAGATCACAAATATCCCTTTACAGATTCTCCAAAAAGACTGTTTCCAACTTGCACAATCAAAAGAGATGTTCAACTCTGTGTGATGAATGCACACAACACAAAGAAGTTTCTCAGAAAGTGTCTGTCCAGATTTTATGAGTAGATATTTCCTGTTCCAATATAGGCCTCAAAGTGCTCCAAATATCCATCTGCAGATACTACAAAAAGCCTATTTCCAAACTGCTCAATCAAAAGAAATGTTCATGTCTGTGGGTTGAATGCACACATCACAAAGTTTTTCAGAATGCTTCTGTTTAGTTTTAATGTGAAAATATTCCTTTTTCCACCAGAGGACTCAAAGCTCTCCAAATATCCAATTGCAGATTCTACAATAAGAGAGTTTCAAAACTGCTCAATCAAAAGAAAACTTCAACTCTGTGAGATGAATGCACATATCACAAAGAAGTTTCTCAGAATACTTCTGTCTAGTTTTTACTTGAAGATATTTGCTTTTCCACTATAGGCTGCAAAGTGCTTCAAATATCCAATTGCACATTCTACAAAAAGAGTGTTTCAATACTGTTCTATCAAAAGAAAGTTTGAACACTGTGAGAAAAATCCACTCAACACAAAGCAGTTTCTCAGAACTCTTCTGTCCAGTTTTTATGTGAATTTATTTCCTTTTCCACAAGAGGCCGCAAAGCGATCCGAATATCTACTTGAAGATACTACAGAAAGAGTATTTCAAAACTACTCAATCAAAAGAAAGGTTCAACTCTGTGAGCTGAATGCACACATCACAAAGAAGTTTCTCAGAATGCTTCTGTGTAGTTTTTCTGTGAAGATATTTCCTTTTCCACTATAGGCCTCAAATTGCTCCAAATATCCACCTGCAGATTCTACAAAAAGAGTGTTTCAAAACTGCTCAATCAAAAGAAAGGCTCTACTCTATGAGTTGAATGCACACATCACAAAGTTGTTTCTGAGAATGCTTCTGTCTAGCTTTTATGTGAAGGTATTTCCTTTTCAACCATAAGCCTCAAAGCACTCCAAATATCCACTTGCAGATTCTACAAAAAGAGTGTTTCAAAACTGCTCAAGCAAAAGATAGATTCAGCTCTGTGTTTTGAATGCACACATCAATAAGAAGTTTCTCGGAATGATTCTGTCTGGTTTTTATGTGAAGATAATTCTTTTTCCAGTATAGGCTTCAAATCGCTCCAAATATTCTTTTGCAGATACTACAAAATGACTGTTTCCAAGCTATTCAATCAAAAGAAAGATTCAACTCCGTGAGTTGAATTCACAAATCACCAAGAAGTTTCTCAGAATGCTTCTGTCTAGTTTTTATGTGAAGATATTTCCTTTTCCAACATAGGCCTCAAAGGGTTCCAAATATCCACCTGCAGAGTCTACAAAAAAAGTGTTTCAAAACTGCTCAATCAAAAGAAATTTCAACTCTGTGAGATGACTGCACACATCAGAAGGAAGTTTCACAGAATGTTTCTGTCTAGTTTTTCTGTGAAGATATTTCCTTTTCCACTATAAGCCACAAAGTGCTCCGAATATCCACTTGCTGGTTCTACAAAAAGAGTTTTTCAAAATTGTTCAATCAAAAGAAATATTCAACTCTGTGAGATGAATGCACTCATCACAAAGAGGTTTCTCAGAATGTTTCTGTCTATTTTCTATGTGAAGATATTTCCCTTTGCACTAGAGGCCGCAAAGCGCTCCAAATACCCACATGCAGATTCTTAAAAAGCATGTATCAAAACTGCTCAAGGAAAGGAAAAGTTCAACTCTGTGAGTTGAACGCACACATCACAAAGAAGTTTTCAGAATGCTTCTGTCTAGTTTTTATTTGAAGATATTTCCCTTTACACTAGAGCCTGAAAAGACCTCTACATATCCACTTGCAGATTCTACAAAAGGACTGTTTCAAAACTGCTCGGTCAGAAAAAGGTTGTACTCTGTGGGTTGAATGCACACATCACAAAGAAGTTTCTCACAATGCTTCAGTCTAGTTTTTAAGTGAAGATATTTCCTTACCCACCACAGGCCTCAAAGCTCTCCCAATATCCACCTGCAGATTCTACAAGAAGAGTGTTTCAAAACTGCTCAATCAAAAGAAAGTTTCAACTCTGTGAGTTGAAGGCACACATCACAAAGTAGTTTTGCAGAATGCTTCTGTCTAGTTTTTATGTGATGATATTTCCTTTTCCAGTAGAGACCTCAAAGCGCTCCAAATATCTACTTGTAGATTCTACAAAAAGTGTGTTTCAAAACTACTCAATCAAAAGAAATGTTCAACTATGTGAGATGAATGCACACATCCAAAGAAGTTTCTCAGAATGCCTCTGTCTAGTTTTTATGTGAAAATGTTTCCTTTTCCACTTTAGGTCCCAAATCGCTCAAAATATCCATTGGCAGATAATACAAAAAGACTGTTTCCAAAATGCTCAATCAAAAGAAAAGTTTATGCCTGTGAGTACAGTGCACACATCACAAAGAAGTTTCTCAGAATTCTTCTGTATATATATTTTTTCTATTATTATACTTTAAGTTTTAAGGTACATGTGCACAATGTGCAGATTAGTTACATATGTATATATGTGCCATAATGGTGCGCTGCACCCACTAACTCGTCATCTAGCATTAGGAATATCTACCAATGCTATTCCTCCCACTTTCCCCCACCCCAGAGCAGTCCCCAGAGTGTGATGTTTCTCTTCCTGTGTCCATATGTTCTCATTGTTCAATTCCCACCTATGAGTGAGAATATGCAGTGTTTGGTTTTTTGTTCTTGTGGTAGTTTACTGAGAATGATGATTTCCAGTTTCATCCATGTCCCTACAAAGGACATGAACTCATCATTTTTTATGGCTGCATAGCATTCCATGGTGTATATGTGCCACATTTTCTTAATCCATTCTATCATTGTTGGACATTTGGGTTGGTTCCAAGTCTTTGCTATTGTGAATAGTGCTGCAATAAACATATATGTGCATGTGTCTTTATAGCAGCATGATTTATAATCCTTTGGGTATATACCCAGTAATGGGATGGCTGGGTCAAATGGTATTTCTAGTATTAGGTCCCTGAGGACTCACCACACTGACTTGCACAAAGGTTGAACTAGTTTACAGTCCCACCAACAGTGCAAAAATGTTCCTATTTCTCCACATCCTCTCCAGCACCTGTTGTTTCCTGACTTTTTGATGATTGCC